>NC_000013.11:68711136-68862651 GCF_000001405.40 Homo sapiens
CTGTCTACAGAGCCATCAGCATGTTCCTTTTGATATGTATTTTATCTCAGGTCAAAATTCTGCCCTCATGGCCTCATCTCAGTCAGATCAAAAGTTTTCCCATGCCAAACATAAGCTTATATATTCCCATTTTCTGTTATCATCAGAACATCATACCCTTTTTTTTTTCTTCTCCTCCACCTCACCCTGCACCACGCGTTCTTTTTATGGATCTAGGTCTCTCACCTCAGATTTTTTGTACTTGTTGCTTCTTTCTCTGGAGCTCTCATCCATCAGATAACCACATGGCTTAGACCAAATTTTAACTATCAGCAAGATCTTCCTACGAAACTGTTTAAAATATCAATATTTCCTTTCAGCTGCCCGGGAGTAATTTCTCATAATTTTATGTTGCCTCGTCTTCCACTTTCAATGCAAGTTTAATTTTTCCATACCAGAAGCAGGACTCAGTCACCCATGACAGAGTAACCATCGCCACAACATACATAAATGGCTCAAGCCTGTGGCCAGATATCAGAATTTAGAGGCGTCTCTCGGCCTAGGAGACGGGGTTCCCACTTTGTCAAGGCTTCCTTTAAATGAACCATTTAGGCACTTGCCCTCAAACTTAAAGTGACCCACACTCTAATTCACCATATACTCTGCTATTTGCTAGGCAATACGCTCTCTTTCTGCCTGACATGTCATTCTTTCTTCCTTTGACTTGGAAACAGACAGTTACCCTCCTGACTCATTATCTCCTCCTTGCCTAGAATCTGTAAGTAGAAATCTTTGACCTCGTTTCCTATTGTGGTGGTATATTGAATTCGTACTTTCTACATAAAGAGCCAAGGGCTACCTCAGGGCAGGTTTGCCGTGGGATGCCTGGGGGAGTGCTAGGTCAGGTTCCCAGTGCCAGGGCAATAGTTAGACAAACATAAAGTGGACGCTGGTCAGACAAGAACCACAAGTTTAAATAAGACATTTGTATAAACATGTTCCCCCTGTGACCGACACTCCCTTACCACTCCCACCCCTGACTGGTTGGTCATAGGTTTGACAGCTAGGCATTAGGCCATCTACCAGGTGAAAGAAGTAACCCAACCAGGCACGGTGGCTCACGCCTGTAATCCCAGCACTTTGGGAGTTTGAGGCGGATGGATCACTTGAGGTCAGGAGTTCGAGACCAGCCTGGCCAACATGGTGAAACCTCGTCTCTACTAAAAATACAAAAATTAGCCGGGCGGTGGTGGCATGCGCCTGTAATCCCAACTACTCGGGAGGCTGAGGCAGGAGAATCCCTTGAGTCTGACAGGCAGAGGTTGCGGTAAGCAGAGATTGGGCCACTACATTCCAGTCCGGGCGAGAGAGAGATCCTGTCTCAAAAAAAAAAAAAGTATCCAATGAAAGAAAGACGCATTGTAAACACCTATGTCCAGCTCCCCTTTATTTCCTATTAGGACAGAGTTGCTAACTGCCAGCCGCTGTGGTACTAGAATCCCAGTTTAGCTGGGGGCTCCCAAAACATATTCCTTCTCATTCTTTCCATTATCTTTTTCCATAGCGCATACTACCGAACTTGCTATGTTTTCCTAATAAATTATATTTTATTAAATGAATAGTTTATTTACTTATTTATTTATCTCATTTATGCCTTACCTGGTTTTTATTCCTACTAAAATAAATACCCATTATTATAGCAGTGACTGACACATAAGAGGTTATTGATAAACACCTGTTGAATGAATTAATGAGGCAAAGTTCTCTTCTATATGAATAAACTTGATTTTCATAAAGATATTCAAATTCTCTAATCCTGCATTCCTGACCAGGGATTTGGGTCATAAAAACTTTTGCTTTCTATATTTTGTTCCTAATGTGTTAAAATTATTGAAGATGGACATCCACTTGCAATGTTTACTTGGTTTTTAAAATAATGCAAATAGAAGCAGGCATAATTTTTAAAAAATATGTGACTCACATGACTGATTATTATAACAATAAGAAAAATAGTTATGAAATTAGAACCCAAATTAATATACCTGGACCAATTAGTGAAGAAAAAGATACTAATAGGAAAACATTGTCAACAAAAATTAAAGTCTTAACTAGAAAAGTTTTGACTGGAATTTAAAAAAATATATAGAAATAGGACCCTGAGAATAAGGTTGTTCTGACTGTAGGATAATCAAGGTCAAACAAAACTTAGAGCTAAACAGTGAAATTATATTGCAATATTATTAGCTTCATACCTTACTCTATTCAATTACTAACCAAGATGGCCTTAATGATCCCCTCAACTTGATTAAATTTTATAAAAGTTTCTTTCTGACTACAGGCCTTGACCTTCCTTTTCTTAGAGCATTTGCTTTAGAAAACTTGCATTTGTAAATTCTTTCTTTGGCCCTTTGAAATGTAAATTTCCTACAAGCCAGGAATGTCTTTCTCCAGGACCTGGGAGCCATTCCTTTGAAATGTAATCATTCTGTAAAATAGCACCTCTATCTCCCAGTCTCTGTGGGATGGCAGGAGCCTAACTTTCAAAAAGTACCAATTAGCAAACACAGATGGCCTAATCATATTGACTAACATCCCCTTAATTTCCGCCAGTACTTTTCTGCTAGCTTACCCCAGTGTTTAACAATTTTCTTTCTTTTATTCAATGGAGTTGAAAAAACCTTCATTTCCCATTGGAGTAGTCTTGAATAAAGTTTTCCTTGCCTATTTAATTGATCTGGTCCAAATACCTTCATATTTTACTTTCTATTTATGCATTCATTTTTAGTAATATGAATGCGGAAGTAGAGAGACTTCACTAAGTATGTGGTAAAAAACAGACAATGCAAACCTATATAAACTTATAATAATTTTCATGCTACTTTAAAACATATTTTTATGAAGAAGATATAACTACATGATTTACTTTTAAAACTGAACTGATTTTTTATCATACAGAATATAATTTCAGATCATGACAATAATAGGGCTATTTGACTTACTTTTTTTTGTACTAGCATTACATGTCTTATACTTTGTGAATACTATTTATAATTTTTAGGTTTTGTTTTCTTTTTGTTGTGTGTTTGTGTTTACATTACTTAAAATGGCTGAGTGCCTCACATGTGATTGAGCCACAGTAAATATTTGTCAAATTTTTTCTAATACTTTATATACATTTTACTGTGAATACTTTTTTTTACTGTAGAGTTTTACAACTAATGTATTTCAAATCAAAGCGTTTTTATATTTAAAAAAAGGCAAAAATTCTTAACATTTTTCCCCACTCATGGCAAAAACTGTAGTTGTCATTTAAAAAAGGACATAATGAATGGAATTTCCCAGGTCACAGGTTGTTGCAGAGATTAAATCAACTGAGAGTAACAACCTTTCATAGCTAGAACACATTCTGTCCCTCACAAAATAGCACTGGAATGCATTTGAGTGAAAGGGATGTCTTTATAAGAATAGCTAACATTCTTTCTAATGCTATATTAAAAATCAGAGCAATGGCACATATTTTAAGTATTTTAGGGAAAACGTATTTGTGCTATTCCTCAGAACTGTTGTTTGTATACCAATGTATTGCAGGAAAACTTATCTAACAATAATGGGCTTTAATATAATTTTTCTAACGTCAAAATTATATGAAGCAAGAAATTCTCTCTCTTTTTCTTCTCTCCTTTCTAAATCATCCTTCCTGTTAGTCAGTGGATGCATTGAAATAGTGTGAGGAAAACAACAGAAAGGAAAATGGCAAGATATCGGTTATAATTCTGTATTATATTCCATATCAATTTGGCTTAAAATGCTAGAAACTTCAACATGCTGTCTATTGAAAAAGAAACAATTAGATCCAGCTATGGGAGAACTTATTATGCCTTTAATAGCAAGGGGTAAATATTCAATTTCAAATATTAAATAGTTATGACAATCTTTGCAGCAGTAAGTCAAGCATGTTTACTTAAAAGGTTAAAAATCTGGTGAGTGACAATCGGCGTTTCCAAAAGAACTCTTGAAAACATGTGAATAGCAGTGTTGTGGTCTCTGGTGTTCTAAAATATTGAACATATCTAATCCAATGGCTAAGAAAATGAGGGACTGGATCCTGTAACAAACTCTGCTCTTAAAACCACAGAAAAGGAGGTTTACAAGAGCAAAGCATATGGTTAGAGAGTAAGCTCAGAGCCAAACTTCTATATAGGGCTAGTCTGCAGTGTCAGTAGTAAATGTAGAATGTAATCAGGAGAACACTAATCATTTGTTTTGACAAGGAATTATAACAAAGACTCATTGTTTCGACAAAGATTTTGACAAAATCACAGTAAATGTTGCCTAATTCAGTAATTTTCATTTGATTACAAGCACTGAAAATTTAGACATTGAGAGTAAAATAAATTTTCAATCAAACGTATTTAGACACTGTTGGAAAGAATTTACAATTGAGGAGAATAATGACAATAACACAGGAAAGACCTATGTGGAAAAGCATAAGGTGACTGCAAGGGAAAAGCCAATGCAAATTAAAACATAGGTCACTTTCTTCTCCTTAATATTTTTATACTTCCAATTCATTGTTCAATATGTCTGAGACAAAACTCTCAATCAATATATATTACACCCTAGTATTTCCATTAACATTCTACCTAACATTTAAAGATTAGTCAGAATGACTTAGAGGGCACAGCCACTCATAGAGAGGTACGTGTTAGAGAAGGCAGTGCCCAGGGGATGTGGCTGCTGGCTTCAGTCCCAAAGGGAGGGGCATCAAACCATAATGGACTATTATCAGGCATTGATATTTGATTCAGCTTGTCCTGCTGGCTTAGGGACTTGCTTAGGACTGACAACCTTTTATTTTTTTAAATTTCTTCCTATGGGAATAAGAACGTCTTTCTTATTCCTGTTCCACCATTGTATTTTTATTTAAAAAGCAGATAACTTGTTTTCTTTTTTTACAGGTCCACAAATGGAGAAGACATTTTCTCCATGGTGGGCTCACCCATAACTGATTTAGATAATGAGGTCTGGGACATTTTCAGATGATTATATTCAGGTGAGATTTTAGATTATATTTAATGCTGAGTAAAGATTTAAGGGGATGTTGGGATTGGGTGAATCCATATTGTGTGTGAGAAACGCATGAATTTGGGGAGCCAGAGGACAGACTGTTACAGGTTGAATTTTGTCCCTCAAAATATATTTTAAAACACTAGCCCATAATACCTGTGAATTTGACCATATTTGAAAATAGGGTTTTTGCAGATGTAATTAGTTAATGATATCAAGATGAAATCATCCTGGATTTAGGAGGCTCCTAAATCCAATGAATATCTTTATATGCTAGCACCAACTGTTAAACAAGCCATTATTTTCCAACTAAATTGAAATGCCACTTCTGTCATGTATTAAGTTTTCATACGTACTTGGATATATTAATGGATTATTTAGTCTACTGATTGACTTCTCTGTTATGTTGTCAAAATCATAGTGTTTTAAAAGGGCTATATTTGTCATAATATGTAATACCTGAGCAGGCAAATTCTCCCCAGATAGTCTCTGCTATTGCATTAGTCTTGACTATTTCAGATACTTATTCATCATATTAGTATAAAACTCATTTTTCCAAAATCCAAAAGTAAAGCTCAACGAGATTTATATTTAAGTTAAATAAATTAGTACATTAGTTTGGAAAACATTGACATTTTATGACATCTGTTTTTTTTCATTCAGAAGAGGGTACTTTTAATTTATTCATGCCTTACATAGCATATGATTTTTTTGTATGTCATGTGTACTATTTTAAACTTTTTATGTTTTTTATAGTTTTCATATCTATTGTAAATTATTTACCTACATTATATGTGTTTATTTATATATAAAAGTACACAAATGTGTAGAAATGCTATTTTTGTATTATATTCACTTTCTTTATATAACTGGTAAAAGCAAGCGATCAGAGTCATTTTTGAAACTTTATGTTTATTTTATGAATTAGTAGTAAAATTACTAATCACAGAAATTATTAAAAATCACCTTGTATTCAGCTACACAATCAAATTATCAATTAAATGGAATATAATTGTGCCATTTCATTTTCCAGTTGATAATGTTTTCTGCAGTGTTTTATGTTCCAAAACCTCTAAAATTTTTAATAATTCTCAAAACAAAAGTCATCCTTGTTTACTACATTATTTTAATAAAAATGTTTTAGCAACATATTGTTTAATACTTTATTTGGTGGAGAAAGATTTTGTAAGTATGCAGTATCATATTTGCATTTATAGTAAGCTGCATATTTTAATGTATTCATATTTTTCCTCTTATTTTTCTGAATATAACTCAGTAGATTTCCTAATGTTGAATTTATGAATTCCTAAAATAAGCTCTATTTGAATTGCTGATTATTAGATCTTTTGTTATATGTGCTAATAAGATGTTTGAATCATTATATATAAGGTATATCCTTCATATTTTTATTTTAGTACTATCTTTAAAAGGTTTCAGTGTGATGGTTGTGCTGGATGTATTTATTATTTTAAGATAAATAAGAAAATCAAGAAATCCTGCTTAACCATCCTCTAAATGTGGCTTCAAGGTCATGGTTCAAAATGGATATTAAAACCGCAGCCATTTACACATAACCATACTGGAGAAAAATGGAAATGTAAGAAAGCAACTTCTCTAGTTAAGATCCCTACTCCCATATAATTACACAATACTTTTACGTATACCTTTGTTGCCCAGAATTTAATGACATGGTCTTAACAAATGCTAAAGAATCTGCATAATGTACTACCTATTGAGTGATCGTGTGTCCACTAGGAAATTAGGGCTCCTATCACTAAGAAATTAGCCAATGTCCTCTGTCATAGTGCTTTTCTCTAACCTCCAAATATCCATATGTACCTTTCTTCCCACATTTAAAACACACCCAGCCATCTCTCAAGGAAGATGATGACAAACTTCTGTACAAGTTCTGCAGCTGGTCAAATCTTAGGATCTCTAGGGGATGTGCAGCTCCCACTGCTGCCTAGATATAGATCTTTTTGTCATTAGAAACCTGTAACTAAAAGACGTGCTATCTAACATAGCCATTAATGTACTTCCTATAAATTGAAGTTGGATCTAGAAGGTTCATCGGATCCAAGTTTAATTTTGTCCTGGCAACACAATTCCATAAATGTTATGTGTATGCATCAAGAGAGTGTAATATTATGATACCTTGCTGCTTATAATTTTATAATGATGTTAGCTACTGGAGAGTATTTCTTAAATTCTTGAACTCACTAGGAGTTTAAACCGGTAATATTGTAAGTTAACCTTTTTTTTCAATTAGAGTTATGTACCACATGCAAATATTTTAGTCAATGACAAACCATATATATGACAGTGGTTACATAAGGTTATAATGGAGCTGAAAAATTCCATTTGCCCAGTGATGTTATAGCAGTATTACTAACATACTTCTGGTGATGCTGGTATAAATATACCTAAGACATCACCAGTCTTATAAAAGCATAGCACATACTATTATGTACAGTACATAATACTTAATAATAATTATGATACCAGTGTGTGCAATTACTATACTATACTTTTAATTGGTACTTTAGAGCATACTCCTTTTTAAAAGAAGAAACTGAATTGGAAAACAGACTCAGGCAGGTCCTTCAGAAGGTAGTCTGAAAGAAGATGCTGTTATCACAAGAGATGACAGCTCCATGTGTGTGTTATTGCTCCTGAAAACCTTTCAGTGGGATAAGATGTGGAGGCAGAAGACAATGATATTGAAGATTCTAACCCTGTGTAGGCC
Source organism: Homo sapiens (assembly GCF_000001405.40). NCBI lineage: Eukaryota > Metazoa > Chordata > Mammalia > Primates > Hominidae > Homo > Homo sapiens. The sequence continues at coordinate 68,718,929 of NC_000013.11, forward strand.
TAGGTAAACAGTGAGTGTATTTACGACTTAATTTTTAACAAAAATGTTTAAAGGGTAAACAATAAAAATGAAAAAATTAAAAATAGAAACTTATAGAATACGTATATAAAGAAAACATTTTTCTATAGCTATAAACTGTTCATGTTTTAAGCTGGGTGTTATTGTCAGAGGCATGTGAACCAGAGCAACTCCGTCTTAAACAGGAGCTGGGTAAAATGAGGATGAAACCTACTGGGCTGCATTCACAGACAGTTAAGGCATTCTAAGTCACAGGATGAGACAGGAGGTCAGCACAAAATACAGGTCATAAAGACCTTGCTGATAAAACAGGTTGAAGTAAAGGAGCTGGCCAAAACCCACCAAAACCAAAATGGTGACCAAGAGTGACCTCTGGTCATCCTCACTGCTATACTCCTACCAGTGCCATGAGAGTTTATAAATGCCATGGCAACGTTAGGAAGTTACCCTATATGGTCTAAAAAGAGGAGGCATGGATAATTCACCCCTTGTTTTGCATATAATCAGAAATAACCATAAAAATGGGCAGTCAGCAGACCTCAGGGCTGCTCTATGGAGTAGCCATTCTTTTATTCCTTTACTTTCTTAATAAAATTGCTTTCACTTTGTATTGCGATCTCGCCTTGAATCTTTCTTGCGTGAGATCCAATAACCCTCTTTTGGAGTCTGGGTCGGGACCCCTTTACTGTAAGATTATTACCAAAGAATAATAAAGTTAAAAAAATAAAAATAAAAAGAGATCCAGGCATGGTGACTTGTGCCTATAATCTCAGTTACTTCAGAGGCAGAGGCGGGATACCACTTGAGGCCAGGAGTTTGAGACCAGCCTGGGAAGCATAGTGAGACTCCCATCTTAAAAAAAATAAAAATAAAAATTTAGCCAGACATGGTTGAAAAGTTATAGAGTAAAAAATTATGGTAAGCTAAGATTAATTTATTAGTGAAGAAAGAAATCTGAAAAAAATACATTTAGTGTAGACAATGTATACAGTGTTTATAATGTCTACAGCAGTGTACCGTAATTTTCCAGTCTTTCACATTCACTTACCACTTCCTGATTCACCCAGAGCAACTTCCTGTCCTGCAAGCTCTATTCCTGGTACATGCTCTAGACAGGTCTTCCATTTTCTATCTTTCATACCATACTTTACTCTATCTTATCTATGTTTAGATACATAAATACTTATTGTGTTACAATTGCTTACATTATTCAGTACATTAACATGTCGTACAGGTTTGTAGCCTAGGAGCGGTAGCCTACATCATATAGCCTAGAAGTGTAGTAGGCTATATCATCTAGCTTTCTGTAAGCACACTCAATGAGATTCACACAGTGACAAAAATGCTTAATAAGGTATTTTCAGATTGTAATCCTGTCATTAAGTGAAGCATGACTGTATTTGAACCACTTCAAAAAAGAAAAAGTTTAATTCTGTTAACACTTTGGTCACTCAGGAGTAGAGATCACTTGGGAAAAGTAGAAAAACAAATTGATTTTTTAAAAATTTTCTACTGAGAAGTTAACAAAAAGTCAGTTATCTTGCATTATTCAAAGATGACTAAAGTATCCCTCTGAAAGTTGAACTTATGCCATTATAGAATTTTTTAAATGGAAACCATTTATCCTGTTACATTTATTTATTTTTAATTTTTTATTTTTAACTATTTTATTTATATGTTTCTAGGTTTTGATACATGATTGTATTTTTTCTTCTATTTTGATATTATACAATTTTTTTGATATTTCCTCTTATACTTTAAAACTTAAATAGTATATATGTTCCATTTGAGCTATATAATTTGAAAGAATAATTCCATTTTTAAAATAAGACTATTCTAATACCACCTAATAAAAAGTCCATCTTTCCTTTTTGACTTGTTTTTGAAATGAACTTTATAAATAGCTACGGCAGCTTCATAAAAATACTTAATGCCTCTCATTTTGGCACTGCACTCAATGTATAAATGTACCTAGGAGAACCTACATACCTAAGATGTTGAGAGTTGAAGCAGTCATGTGTGTCTTCATTTCTTCAAGTCCAGTCCAGTATATTTTATTAGTATTTTGTAGATTTTTCTATATATATTAGAGGTTTCATTTCAGGCTTATGACTAAGCATATAATTTCTTTACTTGCTGTAAAATATTTGATTTTATCTTCTATTATAATATTATTACATATATATACATATTTTTTGTATTTGTATGCAGGATGTATTTTTTTTTGCATGTGTTAAATCTATAATCTGTTCTTTTACCAAATTTCTTGATAATTTTAATGATTTCATAGTTATTTCTTTGGAGTTTTCCTGATAGATATTTATGTACAATGAAAATAGAAAGCATTTTACTTATGTTATCCTTTTCATTGTTTAAATATTTTATTTTCTCTTTTGTAATTGCATTATTTTAAATATCCAGTAAAGCTGTAAAGTGCATGAGAAATAGTAGGCATGTTTTTTTGTTTTTGAATTTAGTGCAAAGGTTTTAAATGTTTGTCCATTACACAAAATGTTGGTTTGGGGGCCAAAGTAAGTATTGATATAGGTATACAATATGTATTACGTAATACACAGAAGATTTTATTAAATTTAGAGATTATATACCTATCCTAATTACATTTAAAGATTTAACCTGAATCTGTGTCTTATTTTATGAAATTATTTTTCTCCATCTTTGAAGAGATTGATTTTTCTTAATGCTTTGACTAAAATTATGGATGTTTTTGAGTTTCTTACTATTGAATGAACTGTATTCTTAGAAAAATTTCTGATTAATATGTCTTGTTTTTAATGTCTTATTGGATATTTTTTGCATTTTTTTCAGCACCACATTATAGATAGTGCTTCCGTTTCTGACAATCGTGGTTTCTGATGATTAATCGATAAATCTTCCAATCATTGTTTCCCTATATTCAATGTTTTATTTTCCTCTAGTGGCTTTCAAGATTTTTTTCTTTATCTTTGGTATTCAGCAGCTTTACTGTAATATGTCTAGGCATTGTTTTATTTTATTTTATTACATTCGAAATTTGCTGAGTTCTTGAGCATTTATAACATTAATTTCTGGAGAGCTATGTTTATGATAACTTTAAATACTTTTTGCTCTGTTGTTTTATCTTCCTGTTTTCTACCCCCTAAAATAATTTGGACGCTTCAGTGATTCATTTGTTAAACTTTCTGATATAATTCCACTTATCTTGAAGGATCTGTTTTCCTTTTTTCAGTATATTTTTCTCTATTCTCCAAATGCATAATTTGTATTCATTTATTTTCAAGTTCACTCCTTTAAGTTCATTTTGTATTTTATCATCTCCATTTTGCTATTGTATACATCCACTGATTTTGTATTTCAGATTTTTTCACTATTATAGTTTTATTAGATGCTTTTTTAACTTAAAAAAATCTCTATGAACATTATCTTCTGTTTATTTCATGTGTGTTATTCTTTACTATGTTGAACATAGTTTCAATAGCTGCTTTAAAGTCTTTGGTAATGTCAACATCTTGGACTTATTTGGATACGCACTACTGCTGTTTTATCCAAAGGTAATTAATTACATACTAACAGGTCTTTGCATGTTTTAATTAAATTTTGTCTTGAGCAAATTGAATGTTACCATATGTAGTCTCTAGGTCTGTTACCATCCTTTGGAAAAGGTTACTTTTTTTTTTTTTTTACATTTTAGCAGACAGCCAAAGTAGGTTCAGACCTTTGCTTCATTTCTTTTGTCTGTGGCTCATATAGCCATTTAATTCTCAAAGCTCAACTGCTCTACTTTTTTGGGTCTGTCATGCACATGAAACACTCAGTGATTTGAGACTAGGATGTTGATGTAAATCTCAATTCAGTTTCTAAACCTTTGTGCTGCTGATTTGAGACTACCAGTGCTTGTATAGCTTGAGGTTAGCTTGAGGTGAGCCTGAGACTTGTATAAGTTACTACACAAAACTAGTGTTTTTCTTTATTTAGATATCTCCCTCATGGAATTTTTTTCTGCATTCTCCAACGCCAAAGGCTCTATATTCTGGCTGTTCTGGCCAGATAGACAGGATTTCCCTTTCACTGAAGCTTTCCCTGGGGTTCCACTAGTGTGGATTGCTCTCAGAGCTCAAAAGGAAAAATGATCTATGAGATTCTTTTCCTAAGTTTGAATTTCACCACAATACACTTGGTATTATCTAATTTTCATAATCAACAGGAAACTTATTTTTTGTAGTTTGATCAGAAATTTTAGTTGCAGTAAGTGAGAGAAAGGGGTTATAATGAGTTTTTATTTTAAAAAGGGGTTATGCTGAGTTTTTATTTTAAAACTATAAAACGAATAAAGTGGGAAAAAAGGCTTTTACTGAGTTTGTATTTTAAAAGTAAATTTTTTTTTAATTTAAAAAAATTTCTGACACCCTTCACTTGGGATAAGTATCTTTTATACGGAAAGTCTTGAACCTTTCATTTTTTGTCAATCCGAATGTTTTCTCTTTATAAATTCATGTAAATTTATTAATATTATTGATATTTTGGCTTTACTTATTTCATTTTTTTTTTTTTTTGTTTTTGTTTTTGTTTTTTGAGACGGAGTCTCCTCTCGCTCTGCCGCCCAGGCTGGAGTGCAGTGGCACGATCTAGGCTCACTGCAAGCTCCGCCTCCCAGGTTCACGCCATTCTCCTGCTTCGGCCTCCCAAGTAGCTGGGACTACAGGCACCCACCACCACTCCTGGCTCATTTTTTTGTATTTTTAGTAGAGACTTGGTTTCACCATGTTAGCCAGGATGGTCTGGATCTCCTGACCTGGTGATCCGCCTGCCTCGGCCTCCCAAAGTGCTCGGATTATAGGCGTGAGCCACTGCGCCCGGCTTCATATTAAGATACATCTTTATATTTTACATTAGACATTTTCATCATGTCTTTTATCCTTTCTCAATTTTTAATACAAATTTTGTTTTTCAGGAAGGTTATTATTTTTGTTTTGTTTTTGTGATAATAATATTAACGTAATACACTTAATATCTTTTTTTTTTTTGAGACAGTGTCGCACTGTCGCCCAGGCTGAAGTGCAGTGGCGGCGATCTCAGCTCACTGAAACCTCTAACTCCCAGGTTCAAGTGATTCTCCTGCCTCAGCCTCCCAAGTGTCTGGGATTACAGGCTTCCACCACCACACCCGGCTAATTTTTTGTATTTTAAGTAGAGACGGGGTTTCAATATGTTGGCCAGGCTGGTCTTGAACGCCTGACCTTGTGATCCACCTGCCTTGGCCTTAATCTGCTTTTTGGGGGATTAGAGAAAGAATATTGTCTACTGCTTACCTACTAGAACAATGTTAAAATCAGCTAATAACTTTTTCTAACTCATTTTCTTCTTTTTCCGTAACATCTCATTTGTAATTAGATGACTTGCTTCCAAATAATTGCTATAATAAGCAATCTGACCTGCCTGAATTGATACTTTTGAAAGTAACATTACCAGAGTTTTTGTCTGTTAAAAACTATACATTATACTTAATGAATATAATTTAGTTTTATGTTACAAGAAAGAGATATATATTTATATATAAATGTATATATTTACATATATGTAATAAATATACATTAAGTACATTTATATATTATATATATATTTAATGTTCCCCATCAGTCAGTATCCTGTTTCTTCAATTTTTGCTTGTTTGTATGTCTAAAGCATGTTCTTAAGTAGATACTTGAGGAAAGTTTCATAACATGAATATTTCTTCTTTTCTTGTATGGCTATTGTGATGATTAATTTTCTGTGTCCACATGACTGAGCAATAGGGTTTCTAGACATTTGATCAAACACTAATCTAGGTATGTCTGTGAGGGTGTTTCTGGCTGAGATTAACACATGAATTGGTAGACTGTCCGAGTAAAGATTGTCTCCCTAATGTAAGTGGGCCTCATATATATATGTATATATATGTGTGTGTGTGTATGTATGTATGTGTGTGTGTGTATATATATATATATATATATATATATATGAATATGGCTGTATACAATACTATTTGTCATATTTTATACCCTTGAAATATTTACTAATTTAATTTTTGGGGGGTATAAATAATTATGATGCAAAAGTCTGATGACACTGATATTCTTCTTCTAAGTGTCTTGATATTTTGTCTGGTTTCTAAAAATTCCAAAAAGTTTTACCATAATATACATCAGGTTGGGCCATTTTAGGTTGTTTTGTGAAGGTATATAGAAAATATGAAGATCTGTGTCACGTACCTAATTAAAAGAAAGTTTTGTTAAAAATCAATTTTGTTATTGGTTCTGTTTCATTCATTTGGCTTATTTCTATGTAATCCTTTTTCCATATTTTGAATTTCTTTTGCTTTTATTCTGTATCTATATTTTTATCAGAAAGTATTTTGTTTTTCTTTTGATTTTTACATTTTTCTATTTTTCATCTTTAAGACTTTTCTCCATTGTATTGAATCACCAATGTAATCTATCAAGTTTTGACTTTACTTCTGAAATAATGTTTTATTTATAATTATTTTGTGCTATATGTTACCATTCTAGTCAAACATTTTTTTCCCAATCACCTCATTTAATAGATATCTAATTCTAATTTATGTTGCTTTCAAAGAGATTGTATTATTGCATTGTTTTTTTCTAATTGTTTTTAAAATAAATTCAGGTTTCATCTTGTAATTATGCCTTTGTAATCATCTTTTATACTCTCTAGAAATATTATCCTGTTTTCTCCTTATATTTTATCACATATATTTATAGATAATCTATTTTTGATTGTTCTTTTAAGTGAAATTACTTATAATTTTAGGAATGTGTGTATATATTATAATGCTTATTGCATCACAGGATAGACTTAGAAATTTATACTCATAAACGTACAAGTTTGTAATTTATGTTTTTCTAATCCTCAACTTTTTGTTCTGTTTTGTTAATTTTATTTAAAAAATTCTTGGAGAGATACAAGAAAATTTTCCACTATTATTTACTTATTTGCATAATCTTTGTAATTCTAGATGTATGCATTTACTGCGGTTTTGTCTGTTACATAAAGCTTTATGCCTGTAATATGTTAAGAAACCTCCAGCACGTTCATACTTATATTTTGACCTCAGTCCTTTTTTGCTGATGTTATTGTTCTTATTTATATTCTTTGATAGATTTAATGTACACATTTGCAAACACTCTCATTTCTACCTTCTTTGCCAAAAATTTTAAGGGTAATTTTCATGAACTTCATACAGCACGTTCTTATAGTATCTCTGTAGCAAAATTCTATTTGCATAATTGAATATTTATGTATTTGCTTTTATTCTTTTCAACATATTTTATATTCTTTGTTATAATTTTACTTTTTAAATATTGTTTCTTCTTTGTAGTATGCTTTTTCCTCTGCTATATGCAGTTGAATGTTGAAGAAGCTTATAAATTTCATCAGAATTTGGCATATAGACAGGGATTTGTGGAGAAAAAGAGTTCAGGGGTGTATAATTAAGCTTCCAACTTTACTGGTTTCTTATTTCCAAGTCTCTAGTTAATTTGTAAATTGATTTATTTTATTTGAATTCTTGTGCTTCTATTAGAGAAAATGTAGCATGCCTATATTAAATAAGTCTGATGGTATGAAAGTGTAATGAACTTAGTATATCAGCCATGGTAATGTCACTTTCTGCTATACATAAATTAGATTAGTGAAGACGTCTCTTTCACGTATTGCTCTGGACCTCTTAAAATAGAAGCAGCTTCCTTCAGTTATTGTCTACCATTAAATAATATTATGAGAGATTTTTGATTGGTATATTATTTATAGTCTTTAAATGTCTTCATTCTTCAGTTTCAGTGGTATCAACAGTGAATACTTGTACAATTGAAAAACATGTGTCATATTTTAGTCTTTCCTCTTCCAAATATATTTGCTCATGAAAAAGCAATTTTCTTGAATAAGAAACATGGCTGTTTACTGATATGTGCATATTTGTTCAGTATCTTTTGTTATATCTGTCTTTATATATGAAAAATTTAATTTTCCTTGGTAATTAGACATAATATAATTTTGAATCATGTTTTTTGTTTCTATAAGATAAACTTTCAAATTGAGTCTGGTAACAAGTTGGGAGAAATTTTATACATTTATGTAGACAATAATATGAATAGATTAGCTTAAAATAGACACACAGATACAGTAATATTTAGTGCTTACTTATTAGAAGTAAGCATAAAGTAATGGAGAATTTCACTGATAGGAAAGAAAGGCACATCTTATGTTTTAGTACTGTGAGAACAAGTTGGATTTTATAAAAAGAATGAGCAATAGTGCAGGTGTTTACCACTAATATTTAGTTGAGGGAGAGAACATCTCATTGTGAAGAAAGTCTTTGTCTCAGTGATTCAGGCGCACATCAGCAGAACTGAATCATCATCCATACTTGGCTGTTTGTTGGTGGTATCTGTAGTCAGCATCACTGTGGTGTGCTAGATGAGGGATTTGGATTTACCACAGAGCATCTAAAAGCAGTACTATGTGAATTCAAGGACTATAACTCCTTAGGAATCTTCAAATATTATTCAGAATTAATTTAAAGAGAATGAAGTGCAAGCAGATGTTCCACAGGTTAATTTAAGTGCAAATGTTAGCGGTATCCTGACATCATTATTACATAAAAATAAGTATGGCCTAGAGAAACACAATATAGCCTAATACAACGGAATGGATTCTTTTTTCAAATGGTTAATAGCTGGATAATAATGTGATTTTAAATTATGTAGCCAATGATGTAACTAATTTCACTACCAAATTATGGCGATTTGTAAATATTTGTATTTTCATAAGTATTAATTATGAGTAATAGATTTAGGTGGCAGAAACAGATTTTATTTTATAGCAGCTGCTCAGGACACCGAGGAAAGAGCACTATGGGAACAAATCAGATTTCCCGAAAGCATGTAAATAATGAATCTTTTTGTTAAGAATGTCAAGTTTAATTTAACATTGCTGTTGCAGTGTAGTACTCTTCAACGTGTATTTATGTGGGGCCTCATGCCAGCTACCTGGATCAACTCCAATGCCTACTGAGCTAAAATCTGCCTTGCCTAAGGAATGATGCCAGTGTATTCAAAATTGAAACACAACAGAAACGTCTTTCTGAATGGAGTTAAACTGTTGAGAGCTCTTTGAATGATGAACTTTAGTTCAGTTTCTAAGAAGTAATCATGTGCTTTATTTAGTGCCTATTATGCTACTTCAAGTTTCTTCTTCCTCTTCACTGAGCATCCTTCCTCTTCATTAAATTTCATCTTTATTCACTCTGTAGAACTGACAAACAATGCTTGAAACATCTGGTGCTGTACTACCTGATAAAGTACCTAACGTCACAAGTTGATTTATTTCCTTCATGTATATTTCACACTGCTTTTTTCCATAACATTAAAGAGAAAAAAGTTTTCTGCATTCTATGCAAGTAAACATCATAAACATAAAGCGGTTAATAATTAAATTCTTCAGAATAGTTGGGAAAAATTATAGAGTTTACATACTATCACACTATCAATACAAATAAATACGTGACTGACAAGTCAAAGATATTGATACTGAAATAATTTTAATAACATTAAAATAGTCATAACATTCATCCCTATTTTTAAAACCTTTTTATCTTAAAATTCCTTGCCACTGTTTTGGAAAAAGAAAAGGAGAGTCGTTGTTGCAGGAGATAGTATTTAAAATTATGTGTGCATCTATATATGATATGGTAATTTCCTCCTCATAAAATAAGCAAGTATTATCTCAAACCTTGAAACCTAGACGCATTTTGTTCCAGATCAGGTAGAGGAATATGGATTGGGAGAAATATTTAGAATTAAAAGAAAATTTTTTTTCCTCAGCTCGACTATGTCTGAAAGTTTTAATGATTCTCAATTCTGGCCCAGTGTAGGGCTAGTCATAGAGTTCATTTCTGGGGATTCACAAACATAGTAGACTCAAGGTTATTCCAAAGCCTTCCCACAATGTGAAAATATCAGTACACTGTCTCTGGGAAAGACACTGAAATTTGTCAAATATTTGAGCAATAAGTTGTTATTCACCCAGCTTCTTTTCAGAGTGTCACAGACACACCGATTTAGAGACATGACTCTTTGGCTTGAAATGTATGCCATAACCATTAACCTGCCAAATGTACAAAATATTTGAGTTTTCTGATTTTAGCAATCATACTCTGAGTTTTAGAAACTGGGATATGAATTTTATGTGATCACCTTCATTGTGTGATGGTATGGATAATGGGAAACCACTCAGTGCCAAATATCTCCTTCTTATTCTTGAAATTGTACCCAAAATGAGATTATATTGTTAAAATTCATGCAAGTAATTTCTTGGTTCAGACATAGTAAATTACAGATAGACTAGAGACTATAACAGCACTGGATCCTAAGGGACAGAAAAGATGTGAATAAAAATAGAAAAAAACCCATTAAAGATAAACTATTGAAAACACATATTTACTTCTTTTACAATTTGTACTAGACTGACCTGCATTCAAATATCAGGTATTGTCAATAAGTATGTATATAAAAGGGTATATTTATGCTGATTTACTCTTTGCAGCATATGCTCACAGAAATGTTGAATCAACCATTATAAACCATAGTATTATGATAAAATAATAGTTCAGTATTTTGCCAGGCAAAATTACGTTACAATAAACACTTGTGCATTTGGTGCCCTGGATTTTGAAATAACTTTATTTCCTGCTGTGAAAATGAGAAAATGTGGTTCATGTTATCAGGTTTCAGGCTTACATTTTATATTGATTTGTCAGAATGAGAAGCAGTAACTACAGGCCTGGGAGACCCTGCTGCTCTGCCCCTCTGGCTTCAAATAAGCCCAAAGATGAGGAATAAATAGTAATGTGAAAAAAGCAGACTCAGTGATTATTGTATGCAACATCTTCTAGATCTTTTCCAGTCTATGACACGTACTGTATTTGGAATATTTAAGAATAAATAAAGGACTTGTAAAAGAATTTAATTTATTGAAAGCATTTTTCAATATTATTTTGAGACTAGTAATGAAAGTCTACATCAAACAAAACCTTTCTCCCTGCTATGCCTCATATCTTCAGAAATGTAATTTCCGGAATAAGTAATCTTAATCCAGTGAAGATTTCATTTGGTCTTTTTACTTTATAAATGTAATTTGCCTCCTCAATAATATGTTGCTGAGTTTAAGCAGCAAGGGTTATATCAAAGATGTATTAAAATGTCTTAAGTCTATTTTCCTCATGCTGCATTATAAAATATTTTTCAATTCTTAAAGCTCCTCTTAGCCCCGTCTCTGCATAAAACACAACAATAATAGTTTCTTCAATGGTTATTCTATTGTTCCAATGACCTCAATAAGTCAATAACATGCCTGCAATACTTTCCTCACTCCAAGAAATATTACAATACACATAATAAAATTCATTTCTCTTAATTTGTATAAAATTACTAAGTTTTGTGTGTAATTGCTAATAATTTTTATACGTGGGGTCAGTGGCAGTCATTGTCAAAGGCGGACTTCTAAATGACAGCAACAATAACAAACCATGGATGGAAACAAATTACAAATAAAATTATTGAATAAAAGTGGTTGATGTATTTGATCAAATCAGTGTTTCCTGATCTTTAGTGAAAGAGCAGGAAAAGAGAACCAAAGTGGAAATTTCATAATACATATTGAGAGAACCATCTGTGAGGTTTAAAGTGGCCAGGCAGAAAGGTTGCACCTGGGACGTCTTTAAAGTATACATACACAGCAGTTAGGACAGAATTATAGCTTCCTGTAGAAGATCTTTTATGCATAGATGTATTTTGAGGTTCTTGTAAGTGAATAATACAGAGGATGTTGTTAAGTTGTTACCCTTGAATGCTATATTTCTACAGAAATGGTTAATAAGACCCTTAATTTGGGTTTGTGGTGATTTTTTGTTATTTTTAAGACAAAACAGTACTAATTATTTTGTGCTGATATATAAGAAACTAAAGCTGTTAATCTTTAAACCCTATTAATAAAGATGTTACCATAAATACAAAATCAATATAATTAGTCAAACGTGCTCGAAATAGCCTTAGATACCACCATAAATTGCCATGTTTACCTTTAATCCAGCAAGATGCCCAAACATCTGCATTTAACTCAGTTCCACTTCAGATGTTAGATATTTGCTTATATGAGGGGAATAGAGCAAAGCAAAACAAACCAAGAAAACCAAACACCCTTCTCTTTGGTGATGGGGCTATTCATTGTTACAGAAGCGAATGAGCAAAAAGGACAGTAAATCTTAGGTAAGTCTCCAGGATGTAGTTAATACCGTAAAGTGTTTTCATTCTGTATTAGAGATCTAAGCACCCAATTTCCATCTCCTGCTTCTTTCACTCACAAAGGTCAAATCACATTTCAAAGTTTAGTTGTCACTTCCACAAAAATCTATAATAACTATAATCACTCAGCAAGTTAGTGTCTGCTTCTCTGAACTCAGAATAACTTCTGCACTGTTAGGAGCCACTTATCAGCTAAGATTCCCACCAATATGTCTGATCAGGCTACTAACTCTTCAGGTCGTGGGCTGTCTTTGCTCTCTAAATTGTAATAACCTATTCTATATGTTCTCCCTAAAGGTTTATTAAATGAATGAATGATTATCCAGTCTCTTCCTGTGTGATTTTAGTCAGAGTTGTTTTGCTTTCTTTTTTTTTTCAAAGCATAATAGTTTATTATTTTGTTAGGTTTAATAATTGTGTTTCTTATTTCAAAATATAATAATTCCTATGTATTTAAAGCTAGCTTTACATTGATAAAATATAATTTTTATGTATTTAGAGCTAATTTTATGATATTTTACACTGTGCATTTTATTATTAAGAAATAGTTTTGTAAAACAATCTATTATAAAGATACACGCATGCGTATGTTCATTGCAGCACTGTTCACAATAGCAAAGACATGGAATCAACCCAAAAGCCCATCAGTGAAAGACTAAGAAAATGTACACGTACACCATGGAGTACTATGCAACCATGACAAGGAATGAGATCATGCAGGAACATGGATGGAGCTGGAGCCATTATTCTCAGCAAACAAACGGAGGAACAGAACACCAGACACTGCATGTTCTCACTTATAAATGAGAGCTGAATGATGAGAACACATGGACACATGGTGGGGAACAACACGCATTGGGGCCTACTGGGGGGTGAGGAGTACGGGGAGGGAGAGCATCAGGAAGAATAGCTAATGGATGGATTGGTTTCATACCTAGGTGATGGGATGACTTGTGCAGCAAACCACCATGATACACATCTATCTATGTATCAAATCTGCACATCCGGCACATGTACCCCTGAACTTAAAAGTTGGGAAGAAAAAAAGTAGTTTTGTGAGAGGGCCTCTAAAATAAATAATATTGGCATGTTTCCTTTCGAAGAACTTAAAAAGTACATGTCACATTAAAAATTCTGATAATACCTACCATTAAGAAATTTGATTATTTTGTTCTGCCATGTATTTCTCTAGCTATTAATAATGGAAACTCCGAATCACTTATTTTGTATAATTCTTATTAATAATACAGGGAACCACATTTGTAAAACATACTTTGAAAAATGTCACATTGTTGTATTATGATTAAATCTCAATTTTTGTTAACAGGTGTTTGCTAGTACCTGTTAACACTTGTCAACATTGTTTTTATTTGATATTGGAGGTTACAAAAAGAATTCTTCAAATATAATTTATATGGCTATGATTGCCATCATAACCAAATTAAATAAGTACAGTGATAAAATGTCTACCAGTCAGATTCTAGTGTCTATCATTGCTATGACCTAGAGAAACTACTAACTTTTCTGGACGTCAGGTTATTCATCTATAATATAATGAGATACTAACATTATGAAATTGATTATTCATTCATTCATGAGTTGCTTTAAGGTAGTAGTTACTCTTTCATATCCTGAAGTTTGACATTTACCATCCTGATTGCATGTAGCTTACATATGGAATGTCTTGAAATCATACATATCTTTTAGTTTTTAAAAATGAATTCTAAGACAAAAAATGTTTAAAGTGCTCTCAAGAAGCATATGCATGACAAGGTATTTTTTATTAGTGAGAATACAGGAAACAACCTAGAGATCCAAAGGTGGTGATTGGTTTAATACATGACATTAAATTACAGGTGGTACTATGATTATTATAATATATATTCTATATTACCTATAATGTCACATGTCACTTATTAGTTTTATATATCAGTTTACGGTTGTATACTACAACATTTTATTTATTGCATATCAATTTCTTGTATGGATATGCCAAAATTTATTCTCATATTAATTTATTTATTCACATTTTCTATCAGGACAAATCCTCTTCATCCTAGGCAATGTTTAAAGCTCACAAGATCCAATACTTTAAAAACACACTATATTAATGTAACATTATGGTTGTTACCACCCACAAGCAAACACACACACACACAGGGCACATATATAAATTGTATAATATTGCATACCACATTATAATATATTAGAATATTATATATACACACATATACAATATGTATGTAACTATGTATATATAATTATATATCATTGTATGTAATACTATGATAATTATAATGTGTGTATATATACATATATACATCCCATGTATTATGATATATTATTGCATAACAATTTATAAATTATATTTGGTAATGACTATATTGTCACTCATAATTTAATGTGTTTTTAAAGTCATTATATGCATTTTTAAAGTTTTTTGTCTCCTAGAATGTATGTTCCAGGAAGGATTCTGTTTTCTTCACAACTGTATCCCAAGATTGAAACATTACCTGGAATGTTGAAGAGTTATCTACATAATAAATCTGTATAAATTAATGTTTGAAAACATAATTTTAACATATATATAAAGTAAAATCCTTTAAAATACTATGGTATAAAACTATATGTTTGTACAAAAGTGATGAGACTGTATTCACAAATAAAAATAATGGTTTAAAATAAAATTATTATATGTTTCTAAATTGTAAAGAAAACATTTTTATGGGAAGCATGGCTAATGAGAAGGAGTGGGGAAGTGAGATGAGGCATCTTAAGAGATTGACAGGGTCAATATCATGCTAATTTAAGACTCTGTTCCTTATTAGGAAGTATTATGTAGCAATTGAAAGAATTTAAGCAAATTTCCCAAACTGATACATGTATGAAGACCATGCCTCATCATTTCATTTTGTGAATCAGTAAGTGTTCTATTTTAGTTTCTGGCACAAAGTAACCAATGATTCTGCATGATTTTTTTCGTAATTAGTAGATTTATTTTTAGTTTTATTTTTATAGAAAAACTGTGAAGTACAGAGTTTCCATATTTCCCCCAATCCTTCACACACATTTTTGCAAAAATCAACATTTTGCATTAATGTGGTACATTTGGTAAAACTGATAAACCAATATTTATATATTATTATTTACCAAGGTAATAGTTAACAAGTGCAAGCACTCTGTGTTTTATACAGTCCAATTAGTTTTGACAAATGAATAAATTCATGTGTCTGTCATTATAGTATCATACAGAATAGTTTCCTGCCCTAAAAAGTATTCTGTAATCCATATTTATTCCCCTGTTCATCTTTCCTTCATAACATCTTGACAACCATTAATCTTTTTATTCTCTCTATAATACTTACTGCCTTTTCCAGAATGTTATATAGTCAAAAACATACAGTATGTACACTTTTCAGACTGGCCTATTTCACTTAGTAATAGATATTTAAGGTTTCTCCTATTCTTACTATTCATTTTTCATAACTGGATATGCCACTTTTTTTCTCATCTCTGAATAATATTTTATTGTTTGAATGCACCACAGTTCGGTTATGCATTCATCTATTGAAGGATACCTGATTGCATTCAATTACTTGAAATCATAAAGAAAGTTGCTGTAAGCATTTGTGTGTAGGTTTTCATGTGGACAAAATTTTCAACTGATTTTGGTAAACACCAACAAGTGTAGTTGCAGGATGTTATGATGTTAAGCTTACTATCAACTTTGCAAGGAACTGCCGAACTGTTTTTAGAAAGTGGCTGTAATGTTTTGCATTCTCATTTGCAATGAATAATTGTTCCTTTTGCTCCATATCCTTGCCCGCATTGGGTGTTGCCAGTGTTTGAGATTTTACTATTCTAAAAGGTATGTAATAGTATCTCATTGTTATTTTAATTTGCAATTCTCTAGCTTCAAATGATATTGAATATCTTTTTTATATGCTATTTTTCCATCTGCTTGTCTTCTTTGATGAAGTGTCTGTTTATGTCATCTAAAGTGAACCCATTTTAGCCCATTTTTCAATGAGTTATTTGTTTACTTATTGTTCCAAGAGTTTTTAGTATATTTGGATGTCAATCCTTTATCAGATATGAGCTTTGCAAATATTGTCTCCCAGTTGGTAATTTATCTCTTTATTCTCCTGACTCTTTTTCAACGCAGAAATTTTTAAAATTTTATGAAGTCCAACGTTCGTGTTTTTCTTTAATGGATCATGCTTTTGGTGTTGTATGTAGAAAGTCATCACCAAACTCAGTCACCTACATTTTCTCCTGGGTTATTTTCTAGAAGTTGTATAGTTTTGCATTTTACCTTTAGTTTATGATAGATTTTTACTTAATTTTTGTGAAAGGTATATCTTTGTCTAGATTATTATTATTATTATTTTGCATGTGGCTGTCCATGCCTTGTTCCTGGTCTGAGGATGACAATATTATTTAGTTTCTCATCATTGAGTATGATGTCAGCTGTAGCTTTTGTGAAGATGTATTTATCAAGTTGAGAAAGTTCCCCTCTATACCTAGTTTGCTGAGAGGTTTTATTTAAATAGTAAATGAGTGTGGGATTTTGTAAAATATTTTTATATGTATCTTTAAAATAATTCTGTATTTTTTCTTTAGCTTGTTGATGTGGTAGATTACATTAAATAATTTTCAGATCTTGAAACATTCTTATATAGGTGAAATAAATCTCAATAGACCATGATGGGATTTATTTTATATATTATTGGAGTTAATCTGCTAATATTTTGTGGAGTATATTTACCTCTATAGTCATGAAAAATACTAGTTTGCAGTTTTTCTTTCTTGTGAAGTCTTTTGTTTTGATATTAGCATAAAGCTGACTTTAAAGAACCAGAAACTGTGCCATCAGTTTCTACTATCTAAAAGAGATTTCAGAAGGTCATTATCATTTCTTTTTTAAAGGATTGGTATAATTCATCGGTGAAACCATCAGGGTTTTGTGCTTTCTGCTTTGGAAAGTTATTGATTATTGCTTCACTCTCCTTAATACACAGAGAACTACTCAGATTATCTATTTTATCTTGTATGAGTTTTGGTAGATTGTGTCTCTCAATGAATTTTTCCAATTTATGTAAGTTATCAAATTTATGGGCACAGAGTTGTTTATAATGCTCATGGGATTACTAGGAACGGCTATTCATTTCTGAAATTCATCCTTTTTGTTACATTTCACTATTTCCAGGTTACTCAGGCTGGCAATTCATCAACTTTTTAGATCTTTATAAAGAGCCAGGTTTGATTTTGTTGATTTTTTTCTACTAATTTTCTATATTAAGTTGCATTTATTTTTTGCCCCTTTTTATTTTTTTTTCACTTACTTTGGATTCCATCTTTTTTATTCTCTTGTTTGTTATATACTAAAGTTGAAGTTTAGATGGATTTTAGATCTTTCTTCTTTTCTCATGTGTGCATTATCTTCAGATCCTCCTTAAGCTCATTCTCAATGTAAATACTGATTCTTAGTGGCCAAAACAAGGTAATAATGTAAATAAGTAACAAAGTAAAGACAAAGAAAAGGTTTGTCATTATTACATCCATAAATACAAATACATTTTGAATAACTCTCTAATACAGCATTCAGAGTTCTTAAAAAAAACATATGAAACACAAAGTAGAAAATTCAGTAGAATGTTTGAAAAATAAAATAAGCTCTCTCTCAGAATGTGAACAAAAATTCAAAAGGGGTAAAAAAAAGACTTCAAAGTTTCAGAAACAGTTCAGATCTTAATAAGACTTACCCCATAGTGAGAGAACAGAGTAAACACAAGGAAATGAGTCGTAGATAATTAAGCAAAGTTTCAGCAAAATACATCCAATATTTTCTAGGTGGAAGGAAGTCATCACTGAGTCATAATGCAAAGGTTTAAAATAGATTTATACTAACGCACATAATTGGACATCAGAATACTGAGACAAGAAACAAGATTCTGCAAGGTTCTGGTAAATTTAAAGAATTATAATTACTTTACAAAAAAATCAGAATATCATCAATCTTTTAACCAGGGACAGTGGAAGTTATAAAGCATTAGAATATTCTTCATGAAAATCTGGAGGAATTTTTTTCCACATATAATTTTATACCCATTCTCACTACCAATTCATTGTGAAAAGCAAAATAAATGTGTTTTCACACCTTAAAATTCTCAAAATGTACCATATCACTTCTCCTTTATTTTCATTAACTTACGATAAAAGTTATTTAACAAAATTAGTGTTATCATGAATGAAACCTATCTGTTTCACATACCAGTTAAATTTAGTAATCAGTAGATAATTGATCCTGGTGTAATATCCCACTATTTTCTGGACGTAATATATTTATTCCTGAAAGTTGTTTGAAATATATAAGCCTGATCTAGTGTAGGATAATTGGCTTTATATTGTTTTTTAGTCAGATTCCATAATATCCATTCATTAATGATTTTTTTCTCAAACATTTAATGTTTAATTCTTTTTGGTACTATATGTAGTGAGTGATGAACACCTACGTGTCTTTGCAGTTTAAAAATTCACTAGTAAGGGAGAAAACACAAATTCCCCCTCCACTGATATTTTCTAATATGCTCCCAGTGGGAAAAAAACATAATTGCTTAAAGAAGTGGAACAATGTATCTTCCATATTCTTGTTAAATAATAGCAGACCATAGAGGAGGATTCTTCTAGATAAAAATAGACTCAAGTGTTATTTCTTCCAAGTTTCAAGTATCTTATTCAAAAAGTTAAATAGTTTCATTTTTGTTTTGTTTTGTCTTTTATCTTGTAATACCAATTCTGTTTTATTGGTGACATGCTATGTCAATATGTGTGTGAAATGTAGTGGGTAATGAGGAGTAAAAGCTCTAAGAAAACAAAATCTAAAAAAATAGAGTTGCATAGTTGCAAGACGCAGACCAGGAAAGACCTTTGGCCACAAAGTGCAAGGCTGAAGAAACTCTTCTTGGATCTGATCACAGAATGCTCTGTAGAAAAACTTATCACAATCAACTTATTATTTCAGTATACTCATCCTAAATATGGTATGAATTTATAGCCCTGTGCACAAAGGACACGGTATATCCCTTTCTCTTTTGCTCTCTACAATGAAGAATACTGTGATATCAAGTTGTATAGATATTTACATTAAAATCAATATGGCCGTTTACTTTGAATAAGGCACTTTGTTAAGCATACAAGATAATCATATGGTTTCAAAACCCAGCGACTTACTAGCTGTTATAGCAATCAAGGTACTTAAACTCTGTAAGCCATGGTTTCCTCATCTGTAGGAAGATGATAATTGTAGGAGTTATTTAATATAGAGGCATGCAGAATAATTTATCACAATGCCAAACACAGTACATATTCAAAAAGTTGATTTAGAAAAATAATATATATAATGACCATAACAGTGTTTATACAAATAAAGAGAGGAATAGGAAGTGAATACTTAAAATACTTATTTAGATTAGAAGATGTAACTCATTGTATAATTTTTTTTTGAGACAGTCTTGCTCTGTGGCCAGGCTGGAGTGTGGTGGTGCGATCTTGGCTTATTGCAACCTCCACCTCCAGGGTTCAAGCGATTCTCCTGCCTCAGCCTCCCGAGTAGCTGAGACTACAGGCGCGTGTCACTACGCCTAGCTAATTTTTTGTATTTTTAGTAGAGATGGGATGTTTCACTGTGTTAGCCAGGATGGTCTTGATCTCCTGACCTCTTGATCTGCCTGCCTCGGCCTCCCAAAGTTCATTGTGTAATTTTAATATTTCCAGCAATGAATTTACCGTGGAATTAGCAGTCGTATTTAGCTTTCTGGTTCTTTTTTTAAAGAAATAACTTCATTTGCTTTTCTTCTTAATGGAATGACGTATATTACATTTTCTTATGTCATATTGTGTTCTTCCATTGTTCTATTTATCAATAATATACATGTGAAAGCTTTTATTGGTAGTCCAAAAGGATGATATTAGGCTTAGGCAGGAAATATTCTAAGGTTTTGTAGGCAACATTGCAATTGACATTTAAAATATCCCTTTATAGATATAACCGGATGGACAACTGATTCTTTTGCATATTTCCAAGTGGTAACTGTAGTTTGGGGATATAAAAACTCTTCCTTGGATCTTAAATGCTTCTAGAAAAAACTGCACAAATCCAAATGCAAATGGAAAAATGTTCTTGAACATGTCACGCTGCTAGAATACTGGAATACATGCAGAACTCCCTAATCAAACTTATTTTTAACCTTAGTAGGGATTAATACCTTGAGTTACCTTGATCTTCTTTCACATCAGTAAAAACATGAAAAGATTTGTGGATGGGGATATTATTGAAATTGAGCCTTAATTGGAACTTAATCTCCATAATTATGCGTAATTGCCTGTGTTTATTACTCCTACAATGAGGACACATTTTTCTTTGGCTCTCAGGAAGCGTGTGTTAAAGCATCACAAACAGCATTAGATAATATGATCCTATACACTTCACTGAGTTTATCTGGTTATGCAGTATCCTTATTCAAAGAGAGACACAAAGAACTTACAGTACAATGCCCTCTGACTTTACTAAGTAGCTTCAATAAAATCAAAGATACAATTTCAAAACATCTTTTAAAGATATAGTCATAGAATTGGATTTAAATTAAATGAACTGTATAAAATATATTGCCTGCTTTTATGAATTCTTAGTTCTAAAATGATCAGTAATGCAGGTGTTTTGGGAATAAAGAATTAAGTAACATTGAAATGCTTTTATTATGAAATCAAATAAAATTATTTAGGACATTAACTTGCCTGGAATCTGGAGCACAACCAAAGTAAATGATTCATTTTGAAAGTGTGGAAATTTATGATGACAGTAATGTCTCATCATTGGCATATCAATTTAAAATGATCAATATGTGCTTATATTTCTTTCCTGTGTATGTTAGTCCAGTCATTATATTAATTATAGTTTCAAACATTGTTATTAGTAGCTATGACTTATTAAATGTCCTGTGATGCTTTAGGGCTAGGGGTAAATCTGAGCATTGCAGGTAAATATTTAAATGGAAGAATGTGAAGAGAAGGTGTTCTGAAGTGTTCTATGAATAGACCTCTTAAAGATAATCAAAATTTAAATGAGCAAAGAAGTAATCGCATGTTGCTTTTGACATTTTATCAAATGGCCAGAGCAGACCTACTTTCTGTGTCATTTTTCAAAATATACAGAATGTCTAAACTTGAAATAAAAAGAATTTTCTATAGTATCATTCTATATAATCTCAAATAAATTTGACAACAATTATTAAATGTGAAATAGTTGGTTTCTTATCTTTTATTAGTTACATATTCTACATTTTAATTAACCAAATTCTAGTTTGCAAATATGTACTAATATTGTCTTGATATTGAATAGTTATATACTTTTAGTGTAAACAGAACAGGCAAGTATTTATTTATTTATTTTACTGTTGTTTCTGAGCCTATGCACTACTACATCAATAGTTCTCAGCCCTGAGCCCAGGATGTTTTCAAACAGTATGAATATCATATACATTTTTTTTGATAAGATTCTGGTTTGGAAATTACTGGAAATTTCTTTTTAGGTCATCCTAATAATGCAACTATGGTCACGATTCACTATAATAGGCTATAAATTTATTGTAAGTAGGACCTCTTTTATTTACCCAGGTGGGCACAAGAAAACAGAGCACAGCTCTGTTACAGCAGAGCTGTAACAACAAATGTATTTTATTAGAGGGCTTTTAAGTTCTGAGATACAGTCTCTTAGTAAATATCTTTTTAATGAAACCAACCACTATGTGATGAGTTCCATATTTAAAAGCAGAGTAGTTTGCCCTTCTTTTTTTGGAAAACTGAAGATGAAAATATTTTCACTAGCTGCATATAAAGAAGTCAATTTTACTTATGGTGATTTTGGAAGCAGCTAGAGTTTGAGTATCTGGAGTATATTGACTTTATTCATACACAATACAGATTTCTCATGCTTACCAGTGTCAACACTTTGGAAAATTAACAAGTTGTTTTTGAAGTAAAAAAAAATTAATAGTTAAAATACATTGTACTTTTGCAATATAATAATCACTGCTCAAATTTTATTTAATATACTCCTAGCCACAACCCTAAGAATTAGACATTTTCACTGAAGAATTAAGGTCTAGATTTGTGTTGTAATTTTTCTAAGCTTGTGTATTGGTAAGTGACTGAATCAAAATTCAAAACAGAATCAATTTAAACTTTTTACAGTAATAACAAATTGCCTAGTGTACTTGCTAAGATATTTGATATCTTCTCCAATAAAAAAGACAGTCATACTCTCCTGCAAGACTCCATATATTGTCATATATTTGGAAACATGGCTAGAAGCAATTTTGTCCAGAGTAGAACAAATTGTTCTAAATTGTGTTTCTGAGATGCTTGTGAAAGCAGTCAGATATTTGCAAGAAATCCTAATGTCCCTCAGTTTGACTAAACTTTAGAAGACAGGCTTCTTTCTGACTCTAGGCCCTTCATCTTTCTTTCCTTAGAGCACCTAATTTAGATAACTTGTCATTGTCAATTCATTCTATTTTATTGTGAGGTGTAAATATTTTTTAAAATCTTTCCAGTTTACAAAAATCTCTTTTCCTGGGAACTTTGAATTCATCCCTTAGAAATGTAATCATCAAGGAATATAGAGTCCCTATTCCCAAATTTCTGTGGGAGAGCAGGAGCCTAACTTTGATAGGCTCATTGTCGAAAGTTAGAAAGGTACCTCTTGTCATGAAGCTTTGAGAAATTTTACTTTTTCTGTGGGCAAAGCCAATTAGCAGAAATGGCTTATGATCTATCCCTTTCAGCTCTTAATTTTTTGGCTCTTAAAATTTTCCAGTCCTAGTTTCAAAGCAATAGACTTGAATAAAGTTTATCTTTCATATTTAAATTACTCCAGTGCAATTTTTGCTTTGACATTGTTTTCATGTTTTTATTTTGGTTAACTTAAATATGTATTTGAATGTTTACCTTTGACTAAGAAAATGGCAGAAGCAACAGAAACCTTTTTGAATAGACGTATTCCTTCTTGTGGCCTTCTACTGCTTCGACTTCCCTTCCAGTAAAGTTATTTACACAAGCATATAATTTAACCATGGTAATAGTACTATTTAAGAATTGATTCTTAATTGATTCGTAACCACTGAAATAAAATTTTGTTTTCATTATGGTAGACGAGGAGTTAACAACCTAAATCTATGTTTCAGCTTTGACATTTGTAAGGTTTGATACACCTAATTACCTTAATAAAACTTGAGAATTTAGGGGGGATTTTGCATTCATTTTAGACATAGAGAAGTGATTTTCATTTACCAAATGTGTACAATTGTAAAATATAAAGACAAAAATTAAATTCAAGAAAATACAGATTAAAAGCAGTCTGCTAAAATATACAAATCCCAAAGTCAATCATTTTTGAGTTTCTTCCTTTAAAATTCTTTCTCACTGATAGAAGTAAGGTTGGAAATTTGCTATATTCAAAATAGAGTTGTGATGCATCTCCCCTTTAGACTCCTGAAGTACATATGCCTTCAAAATGCATATGAAAAGCAAAAGGAATTTATATAGTTTTGTACACTTTGGTTAAACCATTTTTAAAAATGGAATTTCTTCACCTCACATGCCTAAAATTTAAAAAGTAGTCTAACTTCTGTCTATGCAATTTTCAGGTCTTCTTTCTTTCATATTTTATGCATTATCAATATTAAATGATTTATAAGTAGATGACTGCAACAGCTACTCCCTACATCCTCTTGGGTTGAAGTACAGAACAGAAAAAACAAATGCTTCTCTCTGTGATCTCATATAGGTCTTGTTGCATATTAGTGGTGCTGAATATTCATGACCAGGTTGTATGACACTCCAAATGGCTAGAAATGCCTACTCCTAAATCCAGGTGTTGATAACTAGATGTGAAGCATATCAACTGTGAGTTGAGCAGGAATAGCTGCCAGCAGGCATATTTACCCAGAAAAGAAAGAACTCTCTTTAACAATTAGTAAATAATGAGCAGTTCTTGCACATTATGCAAAAGCTAATACATGAGTCACCTCCCTATGTATTGACAATTAGTTGAGTAAAAATGTAAGTCATACTTTATTTGCCTCATAGTACCTCACACACTTGAAAAATACTGAAGTTTATAGGTATGCACATGTATGTACTGCATATTAAGGACAATGTTTATATCTATCACGGTGGCATTATTTTGATTAATAGCCAATCAAGACATTAAGATTACTTTTATTTTAAAGTTCAATTTATTGATATAATTTATTTAATATCCTAACATAAACCACATTAAAATAGCAAAAAAAGCATATCTTTCTTTTCAAAAGGGCCAAAATATATTTTAAGAAAGCAAAAATTTTTGTACTAGAATACACAAAAGAAGACATGAATCAGTAAAATACATGACATAGTTGTGTCTTAAATGAGTCAATGTTGTAAAGTTGACATTTTTTTTCACCATTGATTTACAAACCCCATCATTTCAGGTGAAATTTCCATGCTTTTTTTGGTAACATTTCCATAATTTATCTAGAGGAGAATTGTTAAGAAATTAATCTAATTTGATAACAGAGTAAGAGGAAGAAGTAGATTTTGGAATGACTAATGACTTGCACATCTAGGTGTCAGATTCAATATTCCTGGAAAAATTAAAACTGTACATAAATGACATATCAACAGACACATAGATCAATGGGATAAAATCAAGAGTGTACAAATAGGAATATCTATAGATGAGATTTTAGGTTTTACACTAAGAAAGACGTTTTAAATATTTGGTAAAATGATGAGTAATCAAACAAATATGTGAAAGGAATTGACAGCCAATTAAGACATCCACATACTCATAGAGCTCTTCTGCATATTGTACTTAGCAATAATACATCCTTGAAGGGATAACACTCCATTTGCCCTAATGTGATAATTATGCACTTAGCAATAATACATCCTTGAAGGGATAACACTCCATTTGCCCTAATGTGATAATTATGCATTGTATTTCTTTATCAAAATATCTCATGCACCCTGTAAATCTAAACACCTACTATATACCCATAAAAATTAAAAAATAAATTAAAACAAAATAAATCAAATAATAACAAATGTAAACTTGAAAATAATATTTGGCATTTATTGAATGATCACTATACACAGACTTTCTTCAATGTTCCCTCATATATTAGCTGATTTATTCTTCATGACAACTTATAAAATTGTTATCATCCTTCTTTTATGTATAAGGAAACTGAGGAGTAGACAGGTTGAATAACTTAAATAAGACCCCATGGTATGGAGTGGAGCCAAGATTCAAATTGAGGGAATTTCACACTGAATTCTTACCTCTAATTCCAAATAAAACACTAATATTTGAAAATACATTAAAAAGTATTGTGTATTTTATAAGTGGAATGTGGGGAAATAAGTTTTTATGAAATTAAAAATATAAAAATCTAAAAGAGTTGAATGTTTTAAAGTTTAACAAATTTGTACAGCAAAATAAACAGCAAAAATAAAGTTAAATGGTAAGATTAGGTTGGAGGAACGTGTTTACCAGGAAAATGAAAGAAAATGGTTAATATCCACCATATAATTAAAAACGTACTTCATATAGAATAAAAAACATATGAGAAATTGAAATATTCTCCTAAAAGATTCTATATTGGCATAACCATTAACCTATCCATTGAAGAAATACTTTTGATGGACTGTTATGGGGTGCAAAGATGGGCAGGCAAATGCGTAGGTTTTTTCATCAGCAAGATTATAGTTTACTGATCTGTTACAAAGAAGCACAGCAGTGAGCATATTTGCCTTAAGCACAGAGGGGTAGCTCTTACTGTACATTTTCTAAGTGAGTTTTCAAAAATGGTTTACATAGTAAGGAATATGTTCAACAAGAGTATAGGATATAGGTTAACTATTCTAACTTACTACAACTTTTATTCTTGCATTATTTACATTCAGCATTATCATGCTTTTTTATCGTTTCAGTAGATAATAAAAATAGCATAGAAGATGTGGTAGAATTTTTTTCTTCTACCAGAACCTTCTCTAATATGTCATTTTAATCTGGGCACAGATGTTCTCCAACTTAAAAGAATTGAGAAAAATTAGAAAACAAAAACAAAACTTTTTGAGGAAAATCTAGTACACCCAATACCAAGGAAGCTAAAGAGCTGCTCTGTTATCTTTCAATTTAATGGGGTGCTGAATTGTAGAGGGAAGAAAATGGATCTCAGTGTTATTAGACATGCTTCAGAATGTTTGTCCTTGACATTATTACATAAAATAACAATGCAGAAATCTAAGGTACATTTATGATCAGCAAATAAAAATTGTTGGCAGAGATTGAAATGCCCTGAGGAGGACAATTTGACCTTCTCTTATAACTGAAGCATATCAGTAAACATCACTGGTAAATTAAGATAAACAGTATTGTGAATGAAAGTAAAGTATGTGAATTTAAATGCACCTCTTTCGAATGAAGTCTGTGCAATTAAATATGAAGATATAATGCAATTAAATTCTATTGTTGCTAAATAGCAACTGTTATTTTGTTAGGTTTTCAAAATGATCTGGTCATTTATGTCTTAGTAGCATATTTTGACAGCAGGCTTTCTTTTATTTTTTAGTGACATGCTCCCTGACATTTTCTATTAATTCAGCATAGATATTGGGATTAGGATATTATCTTCACAGAAGAATATTATTTCCATATGTTTTGAGGATCAAGATTATATAATATTCACAGATATTGCAACTAAGCAACATAAAAACAGGATTCTATGAAATTCAGTCAATAACCATTTTAACAATGTAGGCTTGTCCTTCATGTTATATATTTTAATGACAGTGACAAATTTCCAAGAACTGGAAGAATGTCCTGTATACCTCTTTTACATTTGGCATAAAGCTAGCTAATCTGATCTGATTAATATATAAATCTATTAACCTATAAATGTAAAAGCATTCAAAAATAGAAAATTGATTTTTAAAAGTTGGAGAGAAGATATTTTTATTTAAAAATTAAAGTTTAAATGACACACCATTTGGAAAATAAATAGGTTACTGGAAAATACATTGAGATATTTAGTCAAATGAGATAATGGATAATCGAATGTCGACAAAATCTGCTTCCCTTTAGTGTACATACCAGGAATATTTTAGTTAATAGGGATAAGGCAAAAGCCTCAAGAAAGTAAGTATATTTTGGTACAAAGATGTTAAGAGATGAAAGTTCTCTCGTTTTTGTCAGAAGTTTCTAAGGGTGAGAAATTCATTGTGATAGTACACAAATTTGCAATATACTAGTATTGATGTAACTAAGCCATATGAGTGGAGGAGGAAAAATTTAATCAGAATGAAAAGCAAGCACAATTATGTTGTACACACCAAAAGCCCATAATGAAATGTTTTATGGTTTAGATTCTCAACATTTTACTATAGAAAAAGTCTTCATATAAAAATAGAGAAAATATTTTGCCCTGTCATTGTATATCTTTTCTCACTATCAAAAGATTTTGACTTTCTCCCTTTCCTTCTTTGACTTGAGTGTAGTTTTTAAGAACATTAAACTGAAAATGAGTAGTCAGATGATAAGCTAAAGCTTTCTATAAAAGCACCAAAAAATTTATAATGAAGCATAAAATCTGACACCCAGGAAAGACTGATCTTCCCATCAAGCTGTGATCTTTCCATTGCCAGAATAACATGCAAATGAAGCAAATGGTGGACTTGGAAACTAAGAATTCTTACCCCTTTCATCAACTAATTTAGCTATATATACATAAATTGTTCAAATACCATTCATCTTGTGGCAGTGGCGACTTATACTCAAGTGTTGTAGATGACTTGATTTTTAATTATTTCAGCATAAATGTCTAAGTTTCTTCTGTTTGGAGAGACTTAAATAAAACTAAGGATAATGTTAATAGTTATTGGGAGTTAACTATTAATTATTAATAGTATAAGGGAAGAATGACATTAGCCAGAGGAGGGCAACAAAATTGACTAATCCTAAAACAACTTATAGTATCACGTAGTATTTTTGATTGTTTATTATATACCATCCATTGCCTTAAAATATTCTACTACTGTCCTATTCATTATCATACTTACTATAATTAAGCCAGAACTATTTTTCATATTCCAGTTACAGATTAGGTAACTAAGGAATAGATACATTAAAAAACTTACCAATATATTGATCTTATAATGATATGATTAAGATTGCAACCCAGAACACTTACATCAAGGGATATGTTTATCACCTACACACATGAAAATAGATCATAAAGGTTCTCAAAACATTAGAGTCAAGAAAAAAAGAAAGCAAATGGTAACTCTGAGCAGATCATTGAGATAATTCAATTTATCAACATTTAATTGCAAAATCAATTCTATAAGTGCTATGACGTAAGAGATACCTGAAAGACAACTCAAAATACGGAAAGAGGGATTCAATAACACACATTTTGTCCAATAGCAATATGGCAGATGCTTGTCACTTAGAGTGATTGAGTTCAGGATGGGGACTCCCACTTAGAAATACCCAGCCCCATGTTATGGAATTCACGTATGACTCCAGGGGACTGGGGACCAGAAGGAATAACAAATGGATACTAAAAGGACTGCTTTGCTAAATTTCCATAGGCAACAGTGGCACAAGAAGCTCTGCTTTTTAAACAACTCAGTAGAAGCGGGTGAGGAAGAAAGGTATCTTCCCTTTTAGAATTTCTCTAGGAGTGAGGATATTGGATGAGGAACATTACACATTTTATGAGCATGGAGTGAGTCAACCTGCAACTGAAGCAAAAAAAAAAAAAAAAAAACAAAAAACACATTGAAGGGCATCATGCTTTGATGGTTTTATAGCAACGTCCCTGCTGCTGATAGGTGACTTTAGCGTATTTTGGCAAGAATGGAGGCTTCAGCACAGAATTATCGGGTAGGATGAATCATCTCAACAGACTGCAGCAGGAAATGTATAAACGAATCTCCTTAAACTAACTAGGAAGATGATTAGTTGATGAGCAGAAAGGAACAATTCCTGAAAAAGTCTAGAATTACTTAGGAAATTCTAAGAAAGGTGGAGTCCATTCAGTTTCACAGACACCGAAGATATAACAATATTTACTTTTTCTACCATTATTGTGACTCACTTAGGCTTATTGTTTCTTGTACCCTGGACAAATTTGAGTACATTTGTGATGGTGCTAGAAATGTTGTATAAGAGACTATACAATACGTGACAGAAATAATTACTGTAGTCCTTGGAAGAATAATTTCTTTAATAAGATATGTCACTATTTTCAAGGAAATCACCTGAAGATTTTTTGATAAAGGAGTCCGTGGCACAGTAACAAACCTTCACATCTACCCCCAAACCTAACATACAATTTGAAAGAAAAAAATAAACAAATAGAGATATGATCACTCATGGCATTATCAGATTTAAAAAAATTACAATTGTATGCATGAAAGTCACCTTATTAAAATTTTAAAATTCCTATCTACATATTTTCATTTTAGAATGATTAGACTATAGATTGAATCTGATAAAATAATGTAGGTTTCAAAAACAAATCATAAAAATAAACAATTTAAACTAAAATATTACTATTAACTAAAATATTAATCATCATTAATGGAATAAGAACTTAGAAAATTAAAAATGCAAATTATCAATAAAGAGTTGATACACGTAGATAGAAATACTTTCAAAGGGGTAATATGCATGCTATTTAAAAATATCTTAAATTTATTTTTATTTGAATTTAATGAAGCAAAATAGAACATAAAAATATTTAATCCAAACTTATTTTTTAACTCAAAATGTATTCACAAGATAATCATTCCTCTAAAATTATAAACAAAGATTATAAAACGTGGAGATCATGGGGTTATGATGATTTTATTTAACCTTTGGAAGGTAATAGCAGAATATACCAATTGATTGCTTTCATTAAAGTGAGTTTACTAATGTAACTGCTATTATATTGGCACACTTCTTCCATAGTAATGAATCACAATATCTCCATCACTTCAGTGCTTCCATGTAAACAGTGAACTACTAAGATCCAAGGTGAAATAACAGACAAGAGAATAGTGTTTATTATGAGTTGAATCAGTTGCCCCTCCAATTGTTAAAGTCCTAACCCCCAGTACAGCAGAATGTGACTTTGTTTGAGATAGGAACTTTAAAGAGGTAATTTAGGTTAAATGAAGTCACTTGGACTGGGCCCCAGTACAACATGACTAGTGTCCTTATAAGAAGAGTTTAAGACATAAACATATACAGAAGAGAGATGATATGAAGGCACAGTGAGAAGGTGGTTATCTGTAAGTCAAGGAAAAAGGCCTCACAAGAAAAAGAAACAAACTTTGCTGACACCTTGATCTTGGACTTTCAGCCTCTAGAACTGTGAGGAAATAAATCTTTGTTTAAGCTACCCAGCCTGGGGTACTTAAACTGTTATGGCAGTCCTACTTAACTAATACAATGTTACTGTATCTTTCTAGTCCTGGTATTCAGAAACACAAAGTATTATATCACAATATTGATATAATTTCATATCCTTTGTGTCTTTTCCTCAATAAAAACAATGAGTCATATGCTTCTCATGGACTAAAATACATTTGTGATAGATCTCCAACAAGTTAGATTTAAGTGTATGCTTTGCACAACACATGGATGAATCATTTTTATCTTTAGCATATCAAAATTCTTTCCTTTTAATTCTTTAAAATTTCTAGAATAAATTAGATTTCTCTGTTACAGTTTTAAACCTGGACCCAGTGTGATGCTTTACATTTTTTAGTCCACTATTACCTTCCCCCTGAATATCATAGACTCCTGTATTCTTCAAAAGTATTTTAGATAAACCAAAATACTATATTCTGTCTGGGGGACTGAATAGAAGAATAATTATTATTGCACACTGGCTTAAAATTCCCCTGGAGTTATTAAAAGTAAATTTATTTCATTAATAAACTTAAATGTTACATAAATATCAATTCTGTTGAATATATGTATTATTTTTGTGTTATATTCTTCTTGAAAGCAATTGTGGTTAAGAATTACTGACCTTCAAGATGCTGAATCACTGATGCAAAACATATCTCAGCAAATCGTAGAGGAAATTTTCCAAACATAAATATAAACTCTAGTGAATGTGTGTATTATTTGTGTATTATAATCTTTATGAAAGCAATTGTGGTAAGAATTACTGAACTTCAAGATGCTGCATCATTGATGCAAGCCACAGCTCAGCAAATCAGAGTGAATTATAACTATATGGAAAATAATTAATATTAGTTCATCATTTATTATAACACAAAAAATGTACTACTTATAATAATGTTGTAAATTTTGTATGATAATCAATTTGCTAGTGATAATGAGTACAAAAGAAGGAATTAGCAAACCTGTATTCCAAGTATGTAGCTAAGCAGTATTTCATTGAATTCTCATAGTAATGCTTAAAGTCAAGTATTGTTATTTCTATTTGGCATATAAAGAAAATTAGTCTCAGAAGGGAATAGTTACCTATCCAAGATCAGCTAATACCTGGTTGCACCTAATCTGAAGCTCAGTTTTTTCTAAGTTCAAACATGTTCTCTTTCTATTACATGTTATATCCATTCATTCAAAGATCCTTTTTAAGTGATTGTTATTTGCAAGTCACCTTTCTAGATATTCTATACATGAGATTGAACAAAAGTGACATGGTGAACACATAATATTGGAGAAGTGAGGATACAAACAATAAATAAAATAAGTGAAATATATAGTAAGTTAGATGGCATTAACTAAAGTTATATAAAATATATAAAATTGTACAAAATTATATAAAAATTAAAACAAAGTGAAGATAAGTAATTATGTCAATGAACTGGTCAATTTTGACTAGAATGAATGAAGGACTCATCAGGAAGACTTTAGAACAAAGACTTGAAATTGTTGAGGGTCATGTCGATATCAGGTCTAGTACATTGCAGGGAGAATAAATGTCAAATGTTAAATGGAAAGGCCTGGGTTGTTTGAGCATTGTTGTCACTACAGCTAGAGCGGGGTCATCAAAGCAACGGTAGTATATGTGTTTGCAGAATACATGGCCCCGATCATACAGTGGTATCTTGCCAAAAATGTAGGTAGTATTTTAAAAATGTAATTATTTGTGGAATTTCTAAAAGTACACGAAAGTACAGGAGTAGAATGCATAGAATAATAATTTTTCATGTATCCATAACCCAATCTTATTTCACCCATTCAGACGTGTGTATAGGCATATGTTGGTAGATAAATAGGAGAAACTATTTGTATATAGGTACTTTTTATTTATTTATTGCTTTGCTGAAGTAATTTAAAACAAACTAAAATGATCAACTCATTTACCCATAAATATTTCACTGTGAAATAGAAAAAAGCTTAATATTTTACATAACTGCACTCTCATTAAAACTGCTAATAAACTTGGCAGTAATTCTATAACATCATCTAGGCCCATCATTAAATTTCCCTAATCGTCTTGCAACTTTCATTTTATAGCTGGTTTATTTCTAACAGAATCTAAATAAGAGCTACAATTTTGTTGGCCGTTTTTAGTCTTTTAAAATTTATAATTTTAAAATGCTTTATTTTTTTCTTCAGGCAATGTTTTTTATTGAATAAACTGGAATGTGTGCCATATAAAAAAATTCCACATTTTTCTTGTAGTGTCTAGATTTTTTCATTATGCCCTGAAAAATGTTAATTACATTTAAAGGTTTTGTAAGATTTAGGATCAGTTTTGGCAAGTCAGCCACAACAAAAGGCACAAATATATGGTTGTCCAACTATTAAGGATGTAAAACTGATTAGTGTGTTCAATTGTTAACAACCTGGTACCTCTGTTATAAATGACCTAATAAATGTTGCAGGTAGCGGTTTTATCAATTGGTTATTATTAATCCTTAGATAAATTACTTCATTCAGAATTTAAAAATTGTTATTTTGTAATTCTATCATTTTATTTGAAAAATTATAAGAGCTTTTCCTCCAAGTGCTTAGTTAATCCCAAATATGGCTTTTGAAATAATAGCACAACTAATAAATTATGTTCAATGAGTAGTTTTAAATATCATATGAGCTAATATATATTTACATGTATTATGTTTTTCATTCAGTTGAAGTTGTTATTATTTTTGACACTCAAATGTTCTCATCATTGTATAGTGAGAACTCCTGGCCTTCAGTAACCTTTTGGCATCAACTCAGAAGATAATAATAGTTTTTAACTTTAATTCTTTGATGCATGAATTTTGTTTCTCTCCTTGAAAACTGATTTTCTGATAATTTTAACATAACTGTGTTTATAAATAATCCTGCAATATCCATAGGCTAATTTAAAATAATAACACAGTTCACTACAGTACCAAGAATTAAGACTACTTGGCCAGGGTTTTCTTGTGGTTTCTTTGACATCAAGGTTTACTGGGTCTTTTTATGCAGAAAGCTGAAACTGGATCCCTTCCTTAAACCTTATACAAAAATTAACTCAGGATGGATTAAGGACTTAAATATAAGACCTAAAACCATAAAAACTCTAGAAGGAAACCTATTCAACACCATTCAGGACATAGGCATGGGCAACAACTTCATGACTAAAACACCAAAAGCAAGGCAACAAAAGCCAAAATAGACAAATGGGATCTAATTAAATTAAAGAGCTTCTGCACAGCAAAATAAAGTCAAATGGTATCTAA
Organism: Homo sapiens; assembly: GCF_000001405.40. Classification (NCBI taxonomy): domain Eukaryota; kingdom Metazoa; phylum Chordata; class Mammalia; order Primates; family Hominidae; genus Homo; species Homo sapiens. The sequence continues at coordinate 68,753,092 of NC_000013.11, forward strand.
TTAAATTAAAGAGCTTCTGCACAGCCAAATAAACTATCAGCAGAGTGAACAGGCAACCTATAGAATGGGAGAAAATTTTTGCAATCTATCTATCTGACAAGAGGCTAATATCCAGAATCTACAAAGAACTTAAATTTACAAGAAAAAAACAAACAACCCCATCAAAAAGTGGGAGAAGGATATGAACACACACTTCTTGAAAGAAGACATTTGTGCAGCCAACAAACTTATGAAAAAATGCTCATCATCACTGGTCATTAGAGAAATGCAAATCAAAACCACAATGGGATACCATCTCATGCCAGTTAGAATGGTGATCATTAAAAAGTCAGGAAACAGCAGATGCTGGAGAGGATGTAGAGAAAGAGGAACGCTTTTACACGGTTGGTGTAAATTAGTTCAATAATTGTGGAAGACAGCGTGGTGTCTCCTCAAGGGTCTAGAACCAGAAATACCATTTGACCCAGCAATCCCATTGCTGGGTATATACTCAGAGGATGGTAAATCATTGTACTATAAAGACACATGCACGCGTATGTTTATTGCAGCACTGTTCATAATAGCAGAGTCTTGGAACCAACCCCAATGCCCATCAATGATAGACTAGATAAAGAAAATACGGCACATATACACCATGGAATACTATGCAGCCATAAAAGAGGATGAGTTCATGTCCCTTGCAGGGATGTGGATGAAACTGAAAACCATCATTCTCAGCAAAGTAACACCAGAAGAGAAAACCAAACAACGCATGTTCTCACTCATAAGTGGGAGTTGAACAATGAGAACACACGGACACAGGAAGGGGAACATCACACAGTGGGGCCTGCTGGGGGGTGCGGGGCTGGGGGAGGGATAGCATTAGGAGAAATACTTAATGTAAATGACAAGTTGATGGGTGCAGCAAACCTACATGGCACATGTATACCTATGTAACAAAGCTGCACGTTGTGCACATGTACCCCAGAACTTGAAGTATAATAATAGTAAAAAAAAAAAAAAAAAAAAGAATCCCCCCTCCAGAAAAAAAAGAGTTACTGGCACTTTTATATGTAGAGAATAGTGGTGAAATCATGTAACTGCCCTAGCTTCATCCCTCAATGACTGGCTCTTCTGTTGTAACTAAGGATTGGATATATAGATAAATGATAGATAAAGTGGCTTGTCTATTTGTAATATTTAGCAAAGTTCATCTCCTCTAAATCATTTCGCCACCAGTATTTTAAACCGTATCCTTTGTTTTGAACCTCAGGATTCTATTACACTCATCATAGATCTATTCACCAATGCCTATTTCTTTAAGTTTTGGTGTGTTTCTCTTCTTAGATTTCATTGAAAGCTATTGAAATACTTGAAGACTGAGACTGCTCTAGGCCTTTATGATTTTTCTGTGGTCCCTCAGTATGTCACTGAGCCATTATTATTATTACTAGTTGTTATCATTCTTATTTATCATTATTTATTTATGCTCTATTATTAACACCTTCGAAAGGCTTTTTCAGCCATCTTTCAAACCTGTTTGTAAAGAAGCAGACACTTTCTTTTTGGGAGGTGCTTGTATTTGCGATTATGGGTATCTCAGATCACAGATCACAGCACAATCAGGACAAATTGAATTACAAACTTTGGCATGGGTGTGGATAACTTTATGCAGTAGCTTATGTTCTAGACAATAATCTCTATGTTCAATGACAGTTATAAAAAAGTTACATCCTAAATTTTAGTAAATGAGAAAAGTACAAAATTCTGCAGTGAATCTTTTCAAAAGATCTAAGATACTATCCTGAATTAACCATATAGAACAATAGAAAATATATCATTTTCCTTTAAAACACTAGCGAATATTCTAAGCATATTATTTTCCTGGCTAACACGTTTTTGATGATTTGGAGACTTTCAACTTTTCTAGACAAATATGCAATTAAATGAGGTAAGATATTGATAAAGACCTAGTCATTCTAAAATGCTTGGGCTCATTTATATTTCATATATTATAATACAATTTGACTCACATGCTTTTGAAGAATTTCAGTTAACACCGCATTGAAATGTACTTAACACATTCTTTCATAGCATTCTTTTTTACTATTTGCTCAGCTGTTTATTTTCTAAAAATACTACAAAATTATAGAGCTCATGTTCCATGTTAGCTTCTTATTAAAGCTCAATATACAAAAAACAATGTGCTCAAATATTAAGTGTATAGTTCAATTAATTTTCACAGAGTGATGAGAGCGATCACTGTGTAAATAGTATTCAGATCAAGAAACGAAAATGACCAGAACCTTAAAATCCCTTTAATGTCCACAAAGCAACCACTATCTTGACTTTTAATATAATAGATTAGTTTTATATAGTTTTGACCTTTATATTATATATAAATAATTTGTATTGGTATAAATGGGATCATTCAGTATATACTCACTTGTGTCACTTCTTTCACTGAATATAATGTTTATAAATTTCTATATGTATGTATCTGTTGGCTTGTAGTTTTTGCTTCTCATCTAAACGTCAACTGGTATTACATTCAATGAATATGCCATCGTTTATGCATTCATGGTACTGTTGATGGATTAAGGTTTTGAAAGCAGGTATAATAATAGATAAATAATTTTTTATATCATATCATGTAACATGAGAAGTATATAAACATGTAGTTGGATTTATTAAGTTCTCATAAATTTCAGGTGAAAAGGAAGAATAGTATACAAACTTAGAGCTCAGTTATAAAGCATTTATATTTTGTCACTAAGCATCTTTATACTTTATCTTATATATTTTGGTTCTTGAGATAATGGTGAGAACTACTTATATCAAAATCTTCTTTGTTTTGTTGGTGAAACCATGCCATGAGAATTTTAGAAGACTTTCATAGCAAGTAAATGGTAGTGATGGTATTGACTCAGATCTTTTATATTATAAAGACTATACACTTACCACTAAAGTATGTTACCATCTGTTGCATTGTATATTGCCCGAATGCACAGACAGTACTTTTTTTTGTCACCACTTTTGTGTCCCCTACAATGTTATACAAGTCCAATTGATTCATTGATTCTCTTCTCATTGAAAATTAGATCCTTATTGAAAGTTAGTCCCTGGAACAATTATGATCCTAAACTGAAAGCCTCTGAATCATAGACTCTCCTAATAAATTAAAGAAAATAGATGATTAACATGTATTTAATTTAATGCATATGGCATCTTAGCATAGGCATAATTACATAGCTGAAATAAGTTCTGAAGAAACTCTGTACTGATGGAATAATTCTTTTATGGTATTTCCTATGTTGGCCACTTAGTTTTAATCTATTGCCATTAACAGAATCTAAAGTAAATTAAAATTTTGGCAGAACCATTGTTGATATTTTTATTATTTAAGTGATAAGTTATATAATTTTTACTTGTATGTATAATTAGGATATGTAATATTGTTGCTAAATTATTTACTTTTAATAATACTATAGGCTAAAATATTTGGAAATAAAAAATATTGGAATTACTTTTATATTAAAGGGCTAGTACTTTTTGGATTCTTCATTCCAGGGGCTAATTGTGACTTTATGCTTTTCAAAATTTAGTTCTTGATGGGAGATTGTCCCAAGAAGGTTTATGTTCACACACACACACAAAAGATTTGTGCACTTTTATTAGTTTCCTAAGGCTGACATAAAAAAAAAGTACTACTAATTTGACATCTTAAAACAACATAAAATGCATTGTATCAGAATTCTAGAGTCCAAAAGTCTGAAATCAAAATGTCAGAGGGTCTGTGCCTTCACAGGCACTCGGAGGCAGAATCTGTTCCAGAGACTCATTTTCCTAGCCTCTGGTGGTTACTGGCAATCCTTGGTTTTCCTTAGCCTGTGGCATCATTAACTCCAATCTTTTCCTCTATTGTCACATGGTCTTCTTTCTCTCCATACATCTTGCTCTTTTATTGGTAAAACACCAGATATATTGGATCAGGGCCCAACCTAACCTGGCATAATGTTATCTTAACATGATTATATCTGCAAAAGACCCTATTTCCAAATAAAATCACACTTATTTGTACTGGAGTTTAGGACTTCAACATATTTTGGAGATACGTTTCAGTCTCTAATTGTCTGCCCTCTAGCCCTTTTTTGTGCAAAATACATTATTCACCTATTCCAGTATTCCCAAAATGTATTAACCCATTATAGCATCAACTTGAAATCCAAAATCTCATCTAAATATACAGCTGTCTCTCAAAATGGCATCAGTTTTTTCTTTTCTGTAGCAAGAAGAGGGAAAGTTTGTATTTGTCCACCTGCCAGGTACTTTTCTTGTGTGTTTTTACACGTGTGTATACTATGTGTGACTTTCTGACATGGGCATACTTTATAAGTGACTGATTAGCCATTGTTTTTTTCAAACTGAAATATAATCCCCATATATTATAATCTAGGTCCAAATTCAGTGCAGTGTTAGTATATGGAAATGTTATTTCAAAATTTAATGTATAAAATAACGTAATCTGTATTTGGATTTTGGTGAAAGTCAATAAAAGATGCCCAAGATAATTATCAACATAAAGCTACTTTGTTAGATTTTTCAAACTATAAATGAACCATATCTTATTGTGAATCCTCTTAATGTCTGGCTGAAAAAGATACAGTCTATTTCTATTCTGACTTCAATAACCATATTTCAGGGAAAGTTATTTAGAAAGGTTAGTATTTATTTACACAGTAAAAAATTTTTGAGTTTATGTATTCTGTTGTTTGAAGAACTAAAGCTTCGATTGTCTTAGATTTTTAAGATGATCATAGCTATATTATTTAGTGCTTATTAAATTTCAGGAAATGAGTTAAATAATGTATATGTATCTATTATTTAATCCAAACAACACTATTCTGTGATAGGTACTACTAATTTTCTAATTCAAGAAAAAGAAATGGAAGCACATAAAGTTAGGTAATTTATCTAATATAACAAGCTAGCAAATGTTAGAGCTAAGATTTTAATACCGGAAGTCATACTTCATAGGGAATATTTTTAACAACAAAGCCATACTGCATCCTTAGTAAACTGCAATATAATTAACTTAACACCAATTTTAGTTCTAACATTGAACTGGTAGTCAATGATTCAGCCCTTCACCGTTTTCCACCGAATAACTACTGGCATAAAAAAGTTAGAAAGTATGCTACCTTAGGCCAGGCGTTCTGGCTTATGCCTGTAATCCCAGCACTTTGGTAGGCTGAAGTGGGTCTACCACTTGAGTCCAGGAGTTCGAGACCAGCCTGGGCAACATAGCGAAATTCCCTCTCTACAAGAAATTCAAGAATTAGTCTGACATGGTGGCATGCACCTTTAGTACCAGTTACTAGGGAAGCTGAGATAGGAAGGATCGCTTGAGCCTGGGTGGTAAGGGCTGCAGTGAACCATGATCATGCCACTGCATTCCAGTGTGGGCAAAGAGCAAGATCCTGAGAGTTTGCCTGAAAAAAAAAAAAAAAAAAGAAAGAAAGAAAGAAAGAAAAAATGAAAAAGAAGAAAGAAGGAAGGAAGGAGAGAAAGAAAGAAACAGAGAGAAAGAAAGAAAGGAAGAAAGAAAGAAAGGAAGAAAGAAAGAAAGGAAGGAAGAAAGGAAGGAAAAGTAATGCTATTTGAGAGCAGAAACTTGTTCTTTATTGTGTTTTAACTCTTGAAACCCCCCACTACCTACAATGCCTAGTTTGCTCTAAAGGCTCTCTGTAAATATTAGAAGAAATAAATAAGTAAATGTATGATTTTGTTCTTCCACATATTTCTTTGCCTTACTCATGGAAACAAAACAAAATGAAATGAAAATATTTAGTACATTTTAAATCAAGAATATGGCCAGTGATGTAATTAGTAAGTTGTGAGTGAAAGTTTTAGCATCTAAAGCAGGGTTGGCAAACTATGGCCCACAGGTCAAGTCCTTCTCACTGTCTGTATTTTTTTTAAATAAGTTGTATTAGAACATAGTCACCCTCACTATTTTGGTGTGGCTGATTTTTGCTGTATAGCAGGGTTGAATAACTATGATAGAGACGGCTAGGCCTGCAAAGTCCTAAATATTTACTATCTGGCTATTAACAGAAATGGTTACAGATTTTATATTTAAAGCTTGGATAAAACTCTAATGCACAATATCAAAATGCAGTTGAAACAATTTTATTCCTTTCCTGGTACCCCAGATTTTGTGAAGTAAATGAAGAAAAATGACTTCCTTGAATGCAGAAAAGTGAGTAAATAACTTATGGCCATATCTTTACTGTACCCCTTAATGTAACTTTCTTGGCTGCTTTTCAGAAAAAAAAAAAAAAAAAAACAACACAGATAACAACAACAACCAACACGCAATACCCCTCAAATTCAATATACTTGGGTAAGTGGTAAGTTAGAATGTTGGCAGCAGGATAAGGCTTAAAATGAAAAAAAAATCAAAAATACCAAAAACAAAAAACAAAATAACATGGAAATTCCAGACTGTTGGACATTTTGCAGTAAGGGATGTTAAATATAAAACACCACATTATTTAAAACTAATGATAATTATTATATGTTTAATGGGGTAGTGAAATGAGAAATCCTTCCATTGGCCAAGTAATTACACTAAAGAATACACTACAAAATAGTAATAATAGTTCACCTAGGGAAAGTAAGGAGAAACACTAGGAATGTTCCCACGCTGGTAAGAGGCCTAGAGGCCTCACTTCCTGTTTTTCACACCTTTGTGTAGTCCTCTCCCACACTGTGCCAGAGTTTGCCTCTATGATCACTAGAGTACAGTTGAAATGATGGTATGTCACACCTGAAGACACTGAGGTATTAGGCTGAATGGATTAAATTCAACTTAATAAAAGTGTTACTAGTTTGTACCATGCTGAATATAATGAAAAAATTTACTTCAATTATTCGCTTAATTGTAACTTAACATCACAATTGTTATAAAGTTTTGCTTTGGTCATTGTAACCCCATAACTGTCTTACTTCACTACACACATATCTATGGATTTTCAGGAAAATGGAGTCTAGAAATGAATAGATCAATTTTATTCCTGACTTACTTTAATATGGTCTATTAACCAAAAATTGTTATATTAGCTTTGATTATGTTCAACTTGAAGGCACAATTTTAACAATGTTAGTATGCATATATTAATAAACAATTCAAGGTAAAGATAAGGAGATGAAGTCCTCATAGATTGGTAAAATTTGGAAACTACTTTACACAGTTTACCATTTAGCTCCTAATCATGTTGGCCATCATAATTGTGTTACAAGTTTGACTTGTTATGGTAATGGTTATATTAAGGATGTTGACTTATTCTTTTGATAAAGTAGAGGTAAGTTTATTACTTGGAAAATTCAACAACAAAAATGTTGGTATGAACACTGGGAGAATGAGAATATAAAAATCATATTCAAGAAATCCCTTGTAGGCAACGAAAGTCATAACATAAATATGGGAATAGAGTGCTAATCTTCAGCAAATAATTTGCATAAGCTCTGGTAATATTTGTGAGTTGCTGAAGTATTTAAAATTTGTAGCAAATCATTTTTTTCCCAAAAAATATGAATCTAATTTTACATGCAGCAGTATTACACAATAGACGAATGGAAATAGTATGTCTTCATGGCTTGGGTTTTTATCAATGCATACATTAAAGTAAAATATTCTTACAGATTTATTATGAAACAAGTTACTGTTACTACAGAGCTAAATCTAGCTTACAGGAAAGACACATCTTTATTATAATGTCATATTTTGGCCCAAAGGTCATGTCATAAATTAAAGCTGAAATTAGTCCAGCAGAGTCCCATTATTTTTTCTCAGCATGAAACTTTAATAATATGACTTAGACTGACCTTTTTTCACTATTGTTTCAAGTATCTTGTTAATATTCTTTTGCGTTATCACTTTCTCTCCAACATATACATTTTTCCTCTAAAAAGTATATTTTAGCTCCAGCTGCAACATATTCTGCTTGCCATCTGTTGAACATTTGGATTCAGCTGTAAATGCTGGGGTATCTATTCTGTAGGGACATTTTGCCAAATGACCACTCTTTCTCTGTATAGTCATTCCTAAGACTATAGTCATATGTGGATGCTCTAACATTGAGAAAAATCATTTGCCGTATTTAGAAAATAATGATTTCTGTAAACAACTTGTGACTATTGAGAATATTTAACAATTTTTCCATGTGGTAAGTAGGTGTTGAAACTGTCACTAAATACTGTGGATTTTTTGGTCTATTCTAACTGAAATCAGAAATATAACATTCAAAAAGCCAACATTAATGCAATTTCTTAATACAAGTTTATCTTCAAGATAGTTTTAAGGGCCTGTTTTCAAGCATAAAGTGCTTATGTTAATGTTCTCTGTCAATAAATACTCTAAGTGCTTTTTTTCTCCTCCTAATTTTACTTGCCATAATTTGGGGGAGTTTGAAAAATGCATATATCTAGTATTTGAAAAAAATACCTATAGTATGTAATGCTTTACCTATTTGATGAAGGTATAATTTGATAAAAAACCCATAGTATAAGATGCTTTAAAATACCATTATATACTTTGTTTTTATTAACCTAGAAAAATTAATCTGGAGATTTATTTACTGCTCAAAAATGTAATTTATTAGTAAATATGCCCTAATTATCTACTTAGCAAAAAACTCCAGTCACTTAAAGCATTTAATTTATTTTTGAATATCTGCTATGTAAAAGATTTCTAGGTAGCATTCATTATACAAAGAAAAAAGTGTGGTGTACAGAAGAAACTCATTGTGCAATATGAGAATTTGTATTATGAAAATTTTATTGTGGTCTTTCAGTTCATTCCATTAAGTACTTATAGTCAATATATATTTTGGAATGTCCAACAATCTCATTATTTTGGGGACTCCTCTACCCAGTTAAGGACTAGCAAAGGCCAGCTTCCTTAATACATGGAGTGAAACTGTGTGCAGGAGGAGAAGTAGAAACTTAGAAAGAACTAAGCAAGGAGGCTGAGAGAGAAAAAGTTACAAACCCAGGTGCCATATCTTGAATCCTTGAACCTTGTCATGCCTAAAACCAGTCATGGACTTCTTACAATTTAGGGGACAGTATATCCTATTTCTGGCATAAGGTAGCTTGAATTCCCTTTCTTTTCACTTGCTACTCCAGGAATAATGACTAACAGAAAAGTGGTACATTTACAAGTTTTGTTTCAAGTGAAAGAATAGAAATATGGTTCTGGCATCTGAGGAAAGAGAGCAGAGAGAATCTCATATTTCTGGCTAAGAAGCTGATTTTTGTATGTAAAAGAGAAGCCTCTAATTAAGTAATTACCTACCCTGTCTCTGGACTTAGCCAATGTGTCCACCCAGCTAGCAATTTAAAACCCATGTTGAAATTTGATAAAATATGGAGTATTTAGGCAACCTTACAATCCTCAGCATTCTCTTACAGAAAAGGTAAGACTCAGTTTGAGTTGGTGGAGTGAGATACTCTGTGCTTGAGACAAGTGATCCAAACCCATTCAGCAACCACAGTCAAGGGCTTTATTTCATTTTGAAGGCTTGTTTTGGAGTATTCTGTTCTATGGAGACTAAAAGTATTAGGTACAGAAATAGAACTAACAAATGAAGATAAAAATGAGACTTTGAAGGAACCAAAAAAATAGACAATGTCTGAGACACCAAGTTCCTCCCTATGGTTTCTTTCCATATACCCCAACCCAAGACATGCAGTACTTTCTTCTACTATAAAATGCCAACTATAAATACAGAGCTTTCACACAAGAAATACAAATTCTGCCCACCAAATTATTGACTTACATTTAAATGAAACAGCTTACAAGAGAGAATCTGTGAAACTGGGTGCTACAAGAAAGGCAGAGATACAAAAATAGCAGGAATAATCTTCATATTCAAAGGCCTTGAAAAAATTTCTGGCATTTTCTACTATCAAAGATAGAACCTAGAAATCAAATCAAACTGAGGTTTATTGTGTTTTATGGGCGGGGGGTGGGGTATTATGTAAGAAAATCCCAAGTCTGGTAGTCTAGTCTTATGATTACTTTTTACACCAATAACTTACCTAGTTCTCCACAAACACTAAAAAAGGACTTCCCTTTTAGAGATGGATAGGAACTATGAAGAACACAGAGGATCTCTCAGTTGTCCAGAAATGAGGGACAACAATTCCCACTCCACCACCTAACTCCCCTATCCCCTAGTAATCACCATTCCACTCGGTAGTTCTATATGATCAACTTTTTATTTTTTTAGATTCCATATACAGGTGAGGTCATGCAGTATTTATCTTTATGTGCCTGACTTATTTCACCTAACATAATGTCCTACAGTTTCATCCATGTTGTCACAACAGAATTGCCTTATTTTTTTAAGGCTGAATAGTAAGTACTCCATTGTACATACACATCACATTTTCTTTATCCATTCATTCACTGATGGACACTTAGATTCATTCCATATCTTGGCTATTGGGAAAAATGTAGTAATAAACATGGAAGCGTTAATCTCTTCGGTTCAAGAGATCAGTTGTAAAACATAGTGACTATACTTATAACAATATATTGTATTCTTGAAAATAATACAATTTTAAGTTGTTCCCACAAAAAAACTGTGTGAGCTAATTTATGTGTGAATTCACTAGGTTTAGCCATTCCGTAATGTATAGATACTTGAAAACATCATGTTGTACACAATAAACACACAATTTTATCTTTCAATTCAAAAATAATGTTTAATGAAATTAAGAAATGAAAGAAAAACAGTCTGATGAAAGATTACATTTGATTATGAAGAAAGTAAATGACCTACTGTCATTCACTATGACCTATCCGATAAAACGGTCTGCTTTTTCTTGTTGCTGTTCTTCACTTAGGGTGTATTGCCTCTTGTTTCCTTTTCTTAAACAATTTTTCATTTTCACTCTACATTCAGTGTGCTGGAGTTGCAAATTTGTCATGTAGCCATACTGTTTATTTATTTATTTATTTTTTTTTGAGACGGAGTCTCGCTCTGTCACCCAGGCTGGAGTGCAGTGGCTCAGTCTCGGCTCACTGCAAGCTCCGCCTCCCGGGTTCACGCCATTCTCCTGCCTCAGCCTCCTGAGTAGCTGGGACTACAGGCTCCCGCCACCACGCCCGGCTAATTTTTTGTATTTTTAGTAGAGACGGGGTTTCACCGTGTTAGCCAGGATGGTCTTGATCTCCTGACCTCGTGATCCGCCCCCCTCCGCCTCCCAAAGTGCTGGGATTACAGGCGTGAGCCACCCTGCCTGGCTGCCATACTGTTTATTCTTAGTTGAGGAATGCTAACTGAATCTACTCACAAATCATGCAGTAATTAGAACAGCATGGTACAGATTTAAAAAAAAAAATCAACCAAAGGAAAATAATATAGAACCTAGAAATAAATCCACACATGTATGGTCAATTGATTTTCAAAAAAGGTGCCAAGAATACCTAACGGAAAAAGAATAGTCACTTAATAAATGGTGTTGGAAAACCTGTATATCCACATGCAGAAGAATACAATTGGACCCTTATTGCATACCATATGTAAAATCAACTCAAAAATGGATTAAAGACTTAATACTAAATCTGTAAAACTACTAGAAGAAAATACAGGAGTAAAACTACAGGACATTGGTTTCGTCAATGATTTTTTGAATTTGACTCCAAAGTGCAGGCAATAAAATCAAAATTAGATACATGGTTTTACATCGAACAAAGCGTTTCTGCATAAAAACAATTAACAGTGCAGTGTGCGGAGACAACTCACACACTGGGAGAAAGTATTTGCAACAATACATCGAATAAGGGATTAATATTAACAATAGATTAGGAGCTCAAACAACTCAAAGGCAAGAAAATTTAAAAAAAAACTATTAAAAATGGGCAAATAACCTGAATAGATATTTCTTAAAAGATGACATACAAATGGCCAAAGGAAATGTGAAAAAAAGCTTGATATTGACAATCATTAGGGAAATTAAAATTAAAATCACAATGAGATATCTCATAGCTGTAAGAATGACTATTATCATAAAGACTAAAGATAACAAGTGCCAACAACAATAAGGAGAAAGGGAACCCTTGTATGCTTTTGGTGGCAATGTGAATTAGTGCAGCCATATGAAAAATTGTGTGTAGGTTTCTGAAAAAAAATATAGAATTACCATATGATTTAGCAGTCCCACTTCTGGGTAGTTATCCAAAAGTTATGAAATTAATTTGTAGAAGAGATGTCTGTGCTCCCATATTTATTGCAGCATTGTTCACAATGGCCATCATAGAATCAACCTAGATGCCATCAACAGATGAATAGATAAAGAAAATGTGGTGTATGTGTATCCATACACACACACACACACACACACACACACACACAAACACATACACACACACACACACACACATACACACAATAGAATACTATTTAGCTTCAAATAAAAAAATGTCATTTGCAACAGCATTAATGAAATTGGAGAGCATTATTCTAAGTGAAATAAGCCAGGCACAGAAAGACAAATACCACATGGTCTTACTTATATGTGAAATCTGAAATAATCAAACTCATAGAAGCAGAGAGTAGAATGGTGATTACAGAGCCTGAGGGCAGGGGAAATGGGAAGATGATGGCAAAACGGTACAAAATCTCAGAGAGGAGGAATATTATTTTAGGTCTTTTGCACAGCACAGTGAATATAATTAATAAAAGAGGGCTGGGTGTCATGGCTCAAGCCTGTAATCCCAGCACTTTGGGAGGCCGATGTGGGTGGATTGCCCGAGGTCAGGAGCTCGAGATGTGCCTGACCAATATGGTAAAACCCTGTCTCTACTAAAAATACAAAAATTAGCCAGGCGTAGTGGTGCATGCCTGTAGTCCCAGCTACTTGGGAGGCTGAGGCAGGAGAATCATTTTAACCTGGGAGGCGGAGGAGTTGCAGTGAGCCAAGATCGTGCCACTGCACTCCAACCTGGGCAGCACAGCAAGACTCCATCTGAAAACAAAAACAAACAAACAAAAAACAAAACAAAATAATAGAGGATTGTACATTTTAAAATTGTTAAGATAGTAAATTTCAAATATTCTCACCACCAAAAATGTTACATATTTGAGGTAATAGATATGTTAACTATCTTGATTTAATTATGTTACATTGCGTTAATAAATAATACCGTTACTTTTTGTTGTATAAACTTATACAATTATAAATCGTCAATTCAAAATAAAAACAGCAGTGTGTGGAGGGAGAATATTTACTAACATCCAAATGTCTTGGGATTTTAGTTGCATAAAAGAAGGACATGGGACTTAGAACTTTGGTTGTCAGTGGATAGTTGCATGGAATTTTTGCATTTTTCTAGATCACATTATGAGAATGAGTTTATATGGATGTACTGGGTGGCTGCAGCTTTATGATATTTGTATTGTATTACTTTTTGGTCTGCACTGTACAGTATCTTCACTTCTTTTGGAGATCTGCTTATCCACACTCAACCATATGATTCAATAGACATAATAACTATACTTCTCTACCAAATTTGCTGACATTCTGAGCAAATTATTCACATGCAATCATCTTCTGACAGTAGCGTTTAGACCAACAGGCGGTTAAGGCAGTCATATTTCTTCTCTGGATTTTTAAAATATGGAACCGGCTGAAAAACAATTTTCCTACTGGGCCACATATCTGAAAATTATAGACATCCTTTTTCCAAAGATCACATTACCTCCAGAGTAAAGAAATCCTCCACACAGTAAGGGAAAAAGAGGCTTAAGTAGAAATAAGGTAAAGATAGAGGAAAAACACAAGAGCAAGAATGAGAGTAAAAGCAAGAGAATGAAAGTGAGAGAGGGAGAGAGAGAAGGAGGGAGAGAGAAAGGGAGTCCTCAGCACCCTTGAACCTAAGAGTTATGAGTCAGTACGTTCATTTTATTTCACAGACTATGAGAATTTCCTGGGGGTTTTTTTGGATGAAACGTAGTCATTATTAGTAACATACCATTGAATCAAGCATTGCCCATCACATCAACTAATAATCTGCACCTTCGCTCTTCTGGCTTCTGTGGCTCAAAATGAATCAAATGTTAATCAAAATCTACATAATATAGCCTAAACAACTGGAAATGAAAAAACAACAACAATACATAAATAGCTTTTTTATAAAGATGGAAACCCCACTTAGTGATATATATGCACCAACAGTCTCCCAATTTCCAGTGATGGGGATCTAATCTGATAGGGATGTAAGACTGAGTCTTGACTTCCCCGGAACATGATTCCATGGCTTTTTTGTAAACTGGGTGCACATCTTTGAACAGGCTCTTCCCTTTTCAGCACTGGGAATAAGTCAGATACTTCCTTTCCTTCACTGTTTTTTTAAGAACAATTTAAAAAGGGCACACATAACATCCATGCTCTTCAAGCTACAACATATAATTTGGGAAGCAGCAGAGAAAGCAAGAAAGCAAGAAAGCAAGAAAGCAAGAAGGAAGGAAGGAAGGAAGGAAGGAAGGAAAGAAAGAAAGAAAGATCTGGCCTCTGTATCCATCTCTTTTCCTCAAAGGAGAAGATATGATGGGAACGAGTGTCCTATTAGGACCAACTATTGCTGTCAGTTTTTTGGTTCCTAGTGATTCACAGCTTGGCTTTACTAGGCCTAGGCTCATTCAAATGAGGAGAAGCAGAGGGTATTTGTTTTCAAAGTGTCAAGTAGATGAGAAAGCCCTGAAAAGCCAGTATCAGCAGGCCAAGTGCATGCAAAGCTCAAATATTTAAAATATTTTACACAGAATCCCTTTACAAAAAACCAGGCCAATATTTACCAGTGTGATGCTTTCAAAGTTACTACTGTATTAGAATTGGAGAAGATTGCTAATTGGCTCATATATTTTTAATGCCAGTCATTAGAAGCATAAATTTACTCCTGATATCTTTTAATAAAGAAGTAAATCTGAAACATTCTCCAAGATAAATTTGTCACTGAACTGTATATTTATTTCTAATCTAGTAACTCAAAAATACCTTACCCTAAACATTATCAGACTAGAGCACATTATTCTAAGATTAAATACTCCTGAAAACATTTTTGAACAAGAATTTAAAACAGCACATCTAGATGAAATGTACATATATAAATCAGTTTTAATCTATATGAATAAATGTTAGCTGCATGTAAGCTGACATTATCCTTCCCCATTCCCACTAACTTTCAAATTTGAGAAGATCATATAGCAGTTATCTTTGTCAATAGAGCCTAGTATATCAAAATACAATGAATAGCCTGTTCATTCTTACATACACCTGCAGTTTAATATTTGAAATTCTTGTCAGAGAAATATTTGCAATTTGGTAGAAGATAGAAAGTATAAATTATGCTGATTTATAATGTTACCTTTGAAACAAAATCCATAAAGACACATACAACAGCAATATTCACACAGATCATCTTACCTGTCAATGCACAAAAATAGTAAGCATAAAATTATCAAAAAATCAAGATGATTTTTATGTTGCAATGGCTTATTAGGGAACTGAGGCTTTTTGAAAATAAAGAACATATTTTTTCTTTGCCTGAAATTTTCTTTCCTCATTTTTGCGCAACTAATTTTCACTCATCCAGTTTGACTTAATGCATCAATCATCTGTTATAAAAACTTAGACTCCCCTTCATTTCTCAGTGACACATTGTCCTATGAAACTATTGCCATTATCTCTCTAGCCTGTTTTTTTTCTTGTTTTTCCAATAGGATGAAAGTTACTTGAGGACAGGTACTTTGTATGCTTAGCACATAGCATCCTGCCTAGCATATGGTGAGCTTTAAATAAATATTAATTAAATCAATATTGATACATTTCTTACTTTCACAGATATAGTAGTTTGAGAACAATATCAGTCTAGAAATAGTTGACCTGTTATTTGTTATACCTACACTACATATTGGCCATTGTGCCACTAGGCGATGTAAAATCCCCACGTGCTGTGGCAATTATCTATTTATTGCATCTCATCAAATTCATTGTTTTTTACCTTACCTTATGATCCTTCAGTAAGACTCTCCAAACAGTCCCTTGTTGAGATGTGGCTTGACATTAGTTTTTGTCATTAGAGCATCCTGAATGAAAACTGCAAGGATAATGGAGGAAATAATTTGGATCTTGAATTCTTTCTGTGTCTGTCTGTCTCACTCTTTTTCTGTGTCTATCTCTTTCTTTTTTCTCCCCCTCTTCTTTTTTTTCCTAAATACATATAACAATGCTTTCCTAAATATAAGTAAGTCTGCATATAATAAATTTATTAAATTATACTAACTAGGCCTTAAGTGCGCAGTAGAATGAACATGCAAGACTTTTTTTTTTAGATTTTAATAACCCTAAAATACAAAAATACAACTGCTATGTTTGCTTTTCTTCCTTGTCCTGCCTGTGCCATACAATTAACCATCATTGTGATGTTCATGGAGGCAAAGCACCAGGTCAGAGGTGAGTTGCATCAACTTTAGAAGCCAAAGTATGAAAAAGACTCTTTATTAAAAATTCACAAGAACAGATTAATTTTTAAAATGCATACAGATTCTACAGGTAAGAACCTACCTGTCACACATAGATTATAAACATTGAGGATTTAGTTTATCAGTTTCCTAAGCATGCACCAACCACTAAGGACAAACTTTATTACAGCACAATAAGTAAATGAATAATTTACCATGTAAAAAATATTTTCACCTTTTATCTAGAAAGATAAAATTTCTTGTAATTGTGAGTAACATCTATTGCTCTTTTGAAATCCAATGGAAGTTAATTGTTGTGTTAAACAGGAAATCACCCAGGCTGAATGAGAGTCCTTCACTATTAAAAGCATCAATTAGAGTCAAGGATGATTGACTAAGCTATTAAATGCTGAAAATATGTCATTTAAAAGGTAGAAGTTAAAAGTGGATTTACAAAATCTATGAAATTGAGAACATTGAAGCTAGTGAAAATTGGAATAAATTACAAGGGATAAATTATTTAAAGATGAAACTAAATACCTGTGAATTTGGGACCTGTTGGTGAACCTTTTAGAGGACACTGAACTGACCTTGCACATCTATAAAATTGATACAACTTTGAGAAATGAAATGTGGTTTTACCAGGATCAGAAATTCTGCTAACTACATGACTCTATACATTTTATATATCTGAGATTGAGTTATAGGCAAGAAGGTAGACATATATAATTTACTTTCTTTCCCAGGGGAAAATTAAAATACAAATGTATACAAAGAAAAAAAAATGATGAGCAGATACCAGGTAATATAGTTTGACTGTGTCCCCACTGAAATCGCAACTTGAATTGTATCTCCCAGAATTCTCATGTGTTGTGGGAGGAAACCAGGGGGAGGTAATTCAGTCATGGGGGCTAGTCTTTCCCATGCTATTCTCATGATAGTGAACAAGTCTCACGAGGTCTGATGGGTTTATCAGGGGTCTCCACTTTTGCTTCTTCCTTATTTTTCTTTTGCTGCCACCATGTAAGAAGTGCCTTTTGTCTCCCGCCATGATTCTGAGGCCCCCCAAGCCATGTGGAACTGTAAGTCCAATTAAACCTCTTTTTGTTCCCAGTTTTGGGTATGTCTTTATCAGCAGTGTTAAAATGAACTAATATACTAGGCAAAGATATTTGCTTCTTCTCCCTTACTATATATGATAGCCAGTCTATGTAGACATTTATGTAAGTATTTGATTAAATATACAGATTTCATTTTCTTACTAAAAAAATTTATCTGATGCAAAAATAAATAATAATAAGATATATCAAATTATTATTGTAGATATTTCAGGTGTACAACTTGACGATTTGCTCTATTCATTGGGAAACGACCATCAGAATCAATATAATTAACATTTCTATTACCTAAGATAAATACCTTTTTTATTTGTGTGATAACTTAGAATCTATTCTATTGACACATTTTAAGTATACCACACAGTATTGTTACCTCTAGTCACCTTGCTATATATTAGATCCCAGAACTCACAGATTTTGGATATTTGATCATCAGTTGATGTACTCCTTGACCCACATCTGAATCAACTATTTTTGGTTTATTTCAGTAAGTGCAATGGATCTATGAATTTATAATTTAATAGATTTATATGATCAATCTATTAAACTTATCATTTATATGATGACTGAGTTTCTTGCTCTCAGTAGAATAACAAAAAAAATTGTGTACGTTTTCGTTTGCATACAATATCTTCAGAGCAACCTCTAAATTGTAAGAAATAAATTCTACTAATGAAAACGGTATACATACTTGCTGAAAAAAAGATAAGACATGAATTTTAACTGACAAGGATTTAAATAGAAGAATAATCCATTTACTTATAATAAATTTACTTCTGATAGAAATACATTTTGTAGTTAATATATTTTAAATATTAACTATATGATTAGTACTGACTAATATCTGTACAGATTCAGCCACTTGGTTTTTAAAGATCAAATAATTTTATTTATACACTCTAAAAAATACAGTGTTAGCACCCATTTCTAAGAAACTAAGAACACCAAATACATTAATTGCTTTAGAAAAAAATCTACAGTATTCTTTTGATAAATAAGACAGATTATTTAGTCACTAATTAGGAGTGTACTCTTATACAAGACTTTAACTTTGCACAAACTCTCAGTAAAGACTATTTATACAATGACAGCAAAGAATGTAAGTGCTTATTGTTTGAAAGATAAAAAAATGAAATAGATGTGCCCATAACATTTATAATAGGAATATAAAAACAGCATATCTTGAATACAAAGTAATCCATGCATTTTGTAGAGTAAAATATGCAGGTGCATTAGAAAGAAAATAATTGTACAGTATGTTAGAAACTGACATAAATTTCAAACCACTTAAGCAGAAAAAATAATATTAGAGTAATTTTAATAGATGAATAAATTTATATGATGACTGAGTTTCTTGCTCTAAGCCCTGATTTCTTAATTTGTTTTTGAATCCATTTAAAACATAAATTTAATTTCAAATATTATTTAAGAAACAGTAGATAATTCTGAATAAGATCTATGTTTAGCATGCTGAACTTGATCTACAAAGATTGAAGTTCAAATATTAAATGAATAAATAATCTGATTACTCTTTCAACATATATGAACTGATGTGTTATCCTTATTTCTATAGCAATGTGCTACGAAGTATACATGCATGTACATATCTATTTATCTATATCTCTTAGAAAAATTATTTTAAAATACCATATAATCATCAGTGAGCTGTTACATAATAGTAAATAAACAGCTCTTGGGGCAGGGGAGCTCCAAAACAATTTGCATGATTTTTCAATTTCCAAGCCAATTTTTATGGCGGTTGTTACTCACCTTTCCACAATACCTGAACATTTAACAATCAGGTTTTGCAAGGCAATAACAAGTAGTTCCAGTATACCACTCTATGATGTATACAATAAAAATGAAATGGAGAAATTTATCTATTGGTTGTTGTTAAATGTATTTAAAACATTTACAATAATTAATATTAGCAAATGAAAATAATGTTACTAAGCAAAACACAATAAACCATCATTCTGAGCAAACTGTCGCGAGGACAGAAAACCAAACATCGCATGTTCTCACTCATAGGTGGGAATTGAATAATGAGAACACTTGGACACAGGATGGGGAACATCACACGCCGGGGCCTGTTGTGGGGTGGGGGGAGTGGGGAGGGATAGCATTAGGAGATATACCTAATGAAAATGACGAGTTAATGGGTGCAGCGCACAACATGGAGCATGTATACATATGTAACAAACCCACACATTGTGCACATGTGCCTTAGAACTTAAAGTATAATAAAAAAAAATGTGAATAGTATTCATAAAAACATAGAGGTCTTCAAATGTTTGACTTTACTTTGATATGCTATTTTCATCCATGTGTTTTTCGTCTAAAATTGTTATATTCCATAGTTATTTCTACCACTTTATTCTTTTTCTTTTTTTTCTATATTTCTTTATATTAGTTTTTAACTCTCCTCTATTGAAAATAAGACAATTTTAAAGAACAACAATCTGGCTCATTCAATTCTGCTATTTTTTTTAAGCTTCAACTCAGCGGTGTTTCTTTTAGTGACTCTATGGAAACACATTTCCCAAAATATAGATATTTATTTTACATGACAAATATTCATATTTTTCTCCTTTTCAAGAATGACATGCTAATTGTTAGGAGTTTAACTTAACTCAAGTTTTCTCAATATACTTTCTCATGCCTGGTCCATTTTATAGTCTGTCCCTTTAAAATTTGGTGTAAATACAATATGTCATTTATTATGGCGTTTCTTATTTATTTTTATTTAATAGATCCAAGAATTACCAAGATTTCTGGGTCCCTTCTTAATAAACAAAATTGAAAATTATGCACTTAAATAATCATATGCCTATATGTAGGCAGCATGAATTAAAAATAAAGTTATCAATAATTTATAAAAATTAAGAAATTAAATAAATTGATAAATATAAATTAGATCATTTTATAGCATTTATTAATTTCTATAATGTATTTCCTAAATGGGATGACATCCTGGTAATGACTACTCTTCTTGATTATGCAGAAAGTGTTTGTTGTAACAGAATTCTTCTACATAATGCAAACATTTTATGAATACTGTGGTGTGGAACTATTATTTTGTTATTTTTATAGAATGTAAAAGAAAGTTTAGATATTCCCATATGTGATGGCCTGAATAAGATGGGTTAAAGACCTATATTTTAATGGAAATATTCCAAAAATAATAATGGGGACTAATTGAAAAATATCACACGATGTGGCATGTCCAAAACTGAGTGTTGTCACAGTGTCAAGATTTACAAGGTTTTATTAGGTTAACTTATTAAATAAGTAGGAGTTTTTGTTTTTTATGATATAACCATATTTCATATTATGTATATGTGTGTATGTGTGAATATGTGTGTGTATATATGTGAATATATGTTTAGTGTGTGTGTATATGTACATATATTCTCCGCTGAATGCCTTATTTTTTATGAAAAACATTCAACAGAGACATTTCACAATGAACACAAAATTGTTATTTAATATTTCATTAAGCTTACTTTGAACTTTGTAAGAAACCCAACATTCTATGATTCTAACTGACATCAGTCAGGAATGAGAGACTCATATAACACAATTTTTGATTTAGGTTTGCCGATGTTGATTATTAACTATGCCATCTTAATTGAAACTAATCAAAAATCCATTTTTATGATGCATTTATTAGCAGCAACATTTCTGAAATGCGATACTCTAAATCTTAAAATGAATTTACAACATATAGGCTTACAACAAATAATATTCATAATTATCTGATGATTGCATACCTTGTAATAATTTGGTCTGTTATTTTAAACTCAGTGTTTACTATACTGCACTTTAGTGTTAAACAATAATGTGAAATTGTCAGAAACACTAAAGGATCCAGAATATACTCTGGGAATTTGCATTGCTTATGTTTTTTAAAATTATAATTGTGAATGTATTTCATTCTAGTATCTTTCATAAAATTTTATCAATACAGGAAACCTAAAAAGTAATTAGTACTTGCTGGCAAAACTTTATGTATGAAAATGGTGAACAATAAAATTTATTTACTACTTAATGCTAGTGAGAGCTAAGTATAATCCTCTATCAGTATGCCAAATTCATTTTAAAGTAAAACTGAAGTAATGTTTCTCCGTTTGCACAGAAGATAGCATATCAGAAAGATTCTACCAACTCTTGGACCTTCTTTGTTGCATCTGTCTGCCATTGTTATCTGGAAGGCCTAAGCTGTGAGCCATAAGTTTTAGTAAACTAATACATTTATAAGATATAAAGCATCCCATCATTCACTTTGAATATATACAATATTTATTAATTAAATATACTTGTAACATTATGTCATATAAAACGTGTATACTCTTCAGATATCATGATTTGCTACTTTTTATTTAGACAAGATCTTTCAAAAATCTTGCATAACAATATTCTCAGAAGATATCTATTATTATACCTATAAAACTGCAAATATCCAAAATCAAGAGTGGTCCCTAATACACCTGTGTTTCTATATATAAGAATATAGTATTAGATTATATAAGCTATATTATAATATATAATGTATATTCTAACATCTTTTCAAATTCACTAATCTTTACTAGCATGATATCAAAATTATCAATTCCATACTGTGTATTTTTATCTCTGTCCTTGTATTTTGGTTTTTAGAATACTTATGTCTTATATCTTTCATGACTCTGCCTAACATGGTCAAGCTTTCCCTTAAACCTCTTGACTATAAAGAATGTAGTTCTAATTGGTTTAATGCAGTTGTTCACTTATTCTATCATGTGTTTCATTCCTGGTTCAGTTTCCACTGATTGATACTTTTCCTGCCTCAATCCAAGTCCAGTAATTTTTGATAGTATTCCATACATTGCAAATTTTGCCTTGTTGGCAATTAGATATCTTAATGTTCCTATAAATATACATATGCTTTGTTCTGGGATGCAGTTGAGTTCTTTGGAGACGGTTTAATCTTTTGGGGTTTTGCATTTAAGATTATATTTTAGCAAAATCCTAGAGGCATTGACTAAGGCAAATGTTGAATCACTGTTGTGGCAAAATCCTGATTTCTCTACCTGATGGCCCATAAATTATGAGATTTTTCTAGACTGGCTAATGAAAATATCAATAATTCCATCCCTGGTGGGATCTGGGAAGTGTTCCCCCTAGTCCTTTTAGATCGTTCTTTCCCTGTCCTTGGTAGAATCCTCATATTCACACACTAACTGAAACCCAGTTTAAAAGTCCAGAAACCAGACACAGGAATGTAGAGGTCTCTGCAGCTACGTTCTGCCTGTACTCTATTCCGTGAACTCT
This sequence comes from Homo sapiens, assembly GCF_000001405.40. Taxonomy (NCBI): domain Eukaryota; kingdom Metazoa; phylum Chordata; class Mammalia; order Primates; family Hominidae; genus Homo; species Homo sapiens. The sequence continues at coordinate 68,776,037 of NC_000013.11, forward strand.
AGTGCCTTTGCCTCCCCTGTTTCTTCTTATTTTCAAGAAGCTAGAAATTATTCAATGTGACTCTCAATTTTTTCGTTTTTTTTAAAAACTGCAAATACAATACTACCCATAATAATTTCAATATATTTATTTAATATTTATTTATCTACTGTTCAGTTCTTACAACAGCTTTTCCTGAGGATTAAGGCTTTGTCAGCTCTGACTGATGAAAACATCCTAAAATTATCAGGATTTGCCTTTTGGAATATGCAAAGAGAAATTAAATTATATAAATTATTTCATGAAAAATCAAATAATTGTCTACAAATGCTCTTAGTGTTTAATATAATCAATCCTGAGAAAATAAAGGCAAAAATAACAACTAATAAAAATGAGAATTTAAAAAAATGTGTACATACTCATCCTGCTATGAGCAAAAAGTCATTTTACTGAAGAGCCTAGAGGTAAAATTTTTAAACATCATAATCCCCAAATAACCCTTGATATCTTGATTCCTCATTTAGACAATAGTGTCATTTCCAAAATTTATGAAACAGCTTTCACGTTTCATGTAATCACAATTGTTTTATGATTATGATTATTGCTATTTAATTCTTCCCCATAGGTATGTATGCATATCATACATGGTAAGCAAATGGTGAAGACTTTGGTGACAAAATATACATCTCACATTTTTTTTAATTAGAGCAGAAAATGAGAAAGCTAATGAGTTACCCTGAAATTTGCAAATCTAAAATATTTATTTGGCAGATATATTTTAAACACATACATTATTTTATATTTTGCATACACATTTTCTTTGAACTCTAAGTTAAGAAACATAATTTAGGAGTTCTGATCATGCCAGACATGCTTGTATTGAATATGTACTGAGCTGATAACAATAACCAACTCTAGATACAACATAAAAAGTAACTATTTAAGGAGACCCTACAGGAAGGAACTATAGGGATACAACACTGAAAAAAGATAAGCAAACTCTGATGTGTCATACATAACTAGTCTCTCCTGAGAATACTTTCCAGGTTATAGGGCTTTATATTGCGGTATAAAGAAAAATAGAAAATAATACTTTTATTAAGATGTAGGAATAATATTAGGTCAATTTTTAAGGTTGTCAGAAGTGATGTAAATTGAGAGAAGATTCCCAATTCTCCATCTCTTTCTTCCCTCAAGACAGAAGAGAGTCACAAAGAGTAGATACATAAAAGTTTCTCGACTCTATTTTGTACTCTTTTACTATTCATGCAAGTGTCAAAAATCCAAGGAATCCAGGAATAGCAGCTGAGATATAACTTTTTAGTCATAACCTGTGCAGAGAAAAAATAATTTGAGAAGTTCAAATCCCAGCCAAAGGAAGGGTTTGTTACAAAATCTCTGGCTTCCCAGTTAAAAGCAAGGATTACATATTCTAGGAGTGATCTCTGAACCAAAGGTTTTGCTGTAGAACAAAAGACCAGTCTCCACAAGCTTTCTTTATAAAACCAAAAGCCAAGCCTCCACCAGATCAAGGTAATCCTCTAGTAATTTATCTGTCAGGACAAAATTCAACATTCTTTCATGTAAGAACAGGCAAAATTAATTAATGTGTGGTAGAATTAAAATAAGAATAGCACTTGCTATTTGTTGGGAAGGGATAATGTTTGACTGTAAAAAACAGAAGATAAATTTCTGTGGTAGTAGAATTTTTTATATCTTACTCTACACCGTATATGTTTGTCAAAATTCATCAAGCTGAATTAAAGATCTCAGCATACACAAGTTAAACCTCAAAAAATATTTTATTAAATGTGAAACAAATTCAAGAGCAAATTTAAGACTTCATATTTATGTAGACTGGATATAGAATTCAAAACTATATAAATGTGTTTGCTTGTGTTTATGTATGTTGAGTTAAAACCAGTTAAAAGACTAGCTTGCCAAATCAAATCCACACAAAGGAACAATTTTACCAAAGTAAAATTTGATTATTAATTTCAAGGTTTCAAAAAACAAATAGACACAGGTAAAGAAGAGAGGTCTGGCACGTCTCAGATGTCTCCTTCCTTCTGTGCTGGACATGTGTTCTCTGGGAAGGAACAGTAAGCAAAGTTTTTAATGAGATCCTGAATCAACTCAGACAGCAGGAAAATTTATGTAATAAGACCTCTCCATTTCAATCCAGCAAATTGACTAGTTACATAACATTTGCTCTAGAAATGTGCATAGATTGCAGGTCTATTTGTGAGAAACAGGAAAACCGGCCCAAGACAAGAATGCCCTCTCTCACCACTCGTATTCAACATAGTATTGGAGGCCTGGCCTGGACAATAAGGCAAGAGAAAGAAACAAAGAGCATCCAGATAGGAAGAGAAGAAGTTAAACTATCCCAGTTTCTGGAAGACATGATTCTATATCTAGAAAATCCCATAGTCTCAGCTCAAAAGCTCCTTAGGCTGGTAAACAACTACAGCAAAGTCTTGGGATACAAAATCAATGTGCAAAAGCCACTAACGTTTTTATACACCAACAAAAGTCAAGCCAAGAGCCAAATCAGAAGCATACTACCATGTACAATGGCCACAGAAAGAATAAAGTACCTAGGAATACAGCTAACTTGAGAGGTAAAAGACCTCTGCAAGGAGTACTACAAACTACTGCTCAACAAAATCACGGATGACACAAACAAATGGAAAAACATTCCATGCTCATGGATAGGAAGAATCAATGTTATTAAAATGGCCATACTGCCCAAATATTATTAACATTTGTAGATTTAATGCTATTCCTATTAAACCACCATTGGTGTTCTTCACTGAACTAGAGAAAACTATTTTAAAATTTTTATGGAACCAAAAATGAGCCCAAATAGCCAAGCCAATCCTAAGCTAAAAGAACAAAGCTGGAGGCATCGTGCTACCTGACTTTAAACTATACTACAGGGCTACAGTAACCTAAACAGCATGGTACTGCTGTTTAAAGAATAGACACATATACTAATGGAACAGAATAGAAAACCCAGAAATACAACTGCATACCTACAACTATCTGGTCTTTAACAAACCTGACAAAATCAAGCAATGAGGAAAGGTTTCTCTATTCAATAAATGGTGCTGGGATAACTGGCTAGCCATATGCAGAGGTTTGAAACTGGACACCTTTGTTACACCATATACAAAAATTAACTCAAGATGGATTAAAGATTTAAATGTAAAACCCAAAACTAAAAAAACACTCTGGAAAACAACCTAGGCAATACCATACCACTCTGGAAATAGAAATGGGAAAGAAATCATGACAAGGATGCCAGAAGCAATTGCAACAAAAGCAAAAACTGACAAATGAGATCTAATTAAACTAAAGAGCTTCTGCACAGCAAAGCAAACTATCAACAGAATGAGCAGACATCCTACAGAATGGTAGAAAATATTTCTACATTTGCATGCAATGCACTTGACAAAGGTCTAATATACAGCATCTATAAGGAACTTAAATTTGAAGCCCAAAACAGAAACCCCCATTTAAAAGTGGGCAAAGGACATGAATAGACATTTCTTAAAAGAAGACAACATGTGGCCAACAATCATATAAATAAAAGCTCAACATCACTGATCATTTGAGAAATGCAAATCAAAACAACAATGAGATATCTCACACCAGTGAGAATAACTATTATTAAAAAGTCAAAATAACAGATGCAGGCTGTGGGGAAAAAGGAATGCTTATCCACTATTGGTCAGAGAGTAAATTAGTTCAACCATTGTAGAAGACAGTGTGGTGGTTCTTCTGAGACTTAAAGACAGAAATACCATTCATCTCAGCAATCCCATTACTAGGTATATACCCAAAGGAATATAAATCATTCTGTTATAAAGACACGTGCACACATATGTTCATTGCAGCGCTATTCACTACAGCAAAGATATGGAATCAGCCTAAACACTGGTCAATGATAGACTGGATAAAGAAAATGTATCACAATACATCTACACCATGGAATACTATGCAGCCATAAAAAAAAGAATGAGATCATGTCCTTTGCAGGGACATGGATGGAGCTGGAGGCCGTTATCCTTAGCAAAGTAATACAGGAACAGAAAACCATGTACTGCATGGTTTCACTTATAAGTGGAACTAAATGATGAGAACACATGGACACGTAGAGGGGAAAAACACACAATGAGGCCCATCAGAGGGTGGACAGTGGGAGCAGGGAGAGGATCAGGAAAAATAACTAATGAGTATTAGGCTTAATACCTGAGTGATGAAATAATCTGTATTAACAAACCCCCATGACACGAGTTTACTTATATAACAAACCTGCACATGTACCTCTTAAATTAAAAAGATAAACAATCATAAACCATGAACATATTAGTTGGAATATTTCATAGATACAGACTATCTCCTAGAAAATATTGTTTACCTTGAAGTCCAGTTATCAGGCTACAGCAGCATTGGACTAGACCACTGTATTTTCTTTCCCCTGAGAGTGCCTCTTCACCTAACTGGGAATAAATGAACCACAGGTCAGCTGCTTAATCCCCTTCCTTCCCAGTTTTTATACTAAAATAAATCGCTTAATAATAAATACCCCCATTTTATTGCCTTTTTTTATTTTGCTAGGATCAACTTGTAAATCATTTTTTATTTTTACCCAATTTTAGTGCCAAACTAAACCTGAATACATATAAAGAAATCCATTATTTAAGAGCTCACATGCAGCATAAGTAGTCCTGAAATATGTGTGCAATAAAGTTTTTTAAAATTTTTATGACTTGGCCGGGCTTAGTGGCTTATGCCTGTAATCCCAGCACTTTGGGAGGCTGAGGCGGGCAGATCATCTGAGGTCGGGAATTCGAGACCAGCCTGACCGACATGGAGAAACTCCGTCTCTACTAAAAATACAAAACTAGCCGGGCATGGTGGCTCATGCCTGTAATCTCAGCTACTCAGGAAGGCTGAGGCAGGAGAATTGCCTTGAACCGGGAGGCGGAGGTTGCGGTGAGTCGGGATCGCTCCACTGCACTCCAGCCTGGGCAATAAGAGCGAAGCTCCGTCTCAAAAAAAAAAAAAAAAAAAAAAAAAAGACTTATTTTTAAAGCACTTTTTAAATTCTCACCAAAATTAAGAAGAAGATACAGAAATTTCCCATATACCCACTCTGCTTCCGCAAATACATAACTTTTCCATCATCAACATCTGTCATCAAACTGGTACATTTTTTATAGTTGACGAACCTACATTGACACACCATAATCAACCAAAGCCCATAGTTTACACTATGGTTCACTCTTGGTGTTGTACATTTTAGGGTTTGGACAAATGTATAATGACAGGCACCCTTTTTAGTAGTATCATATAGAGTATAATCATTGCCCTAAAAATTCTCCGTCCTCCACCGATTGATTCATCGCTCCCCACACCCAACCCTTTACAACTGTAATCTTTTAAATGTCTGCATAGTTTTGACTATTCCAGAACATCATGTAGTTGGCATCATACAGTATGCAGCCTTTGCAGATTGGCTTCTTTCACTTAGTAATGCAGTTAAGATTCCTCCATGTCTTTTCATGGTTTGATAGCTCATTTACTTTTAGTACTTAATAATATTTCATTGTCTGAATGCACCGCAGTTTACTAATGAATTTACCTAGAAAATGACATTGTAGTTGCTTCCATGTTTTGGCAATTATGAATGAAGCTACTATAAACATCCATGTTCTGGTTTTTATGTGGACATGTTTTCAACCCCTTTAGGTAAATATCAAGAAATGCAATTGCTGGATCATGTATGAGTATGAGTATGTTTACTTTTATAAGAAACTGCCAGATTTCCAAAGTGAACATATTTCTATCAGCAATGAATAAGAGTTCCTCTCTTCTATATCCTTTCAAGCATGTGTTGTCATTGTTTTGGATTTTGGCCATTCTAATGGTTGTATAGAGGTAGCTCACTGTTTTTGTAATTTGCATTTTCCTGTTGACACGTGAGGTGGACCATGTTTTTATATGCTTATTTGCCATCTATATATCTTCTTTGGTGAGGTGTCTGTTAAGGTCTTTGGCCAATGTTTAATCATGTTGTTTTCTATTGTTGGGTTATAAAAGTTCTTTGTAAATTATGGATAACAGTCCTTTATATGTGTTTTACAAAAATATTCTTCCAGTCTCTGGATTGTCCTTTCATTCTATTGACATTGTCTTTCAAAAAGCAGAATTTTAAAATTTTTATAAGATCCAGTTTATCAATTATTTACCTTATGGATTGTGACTTTGTTTTACCTAAAGTTTTGCCATATCCACGGTCATCTAAGTTTTCCCCTATGCTATCTTTCAGGAGTTTTAGGGTTTTTAGTTTACATTTGGGTCCATGACCCATTTTGAGTTAATTTTTTGTAAAAAATGTAAGGTCTTTGTCCAGATTTATTTATTTATTGTTTGCATGTGTATGTCCAGTTGTCTCACCAACAGCTTTTTTTCAGCAATAATCTTTTGCTGAAAAGATTATTTTTGCTCTATTGTATTGTCTTTTTTCCCTTGTGAAAGAGCAGTTGACTACATTTATGGGCCTTGTATTCAATTATATTATCCGTTTATCTATTATTTCTTCATTACCTCACTGTCCTGATTACTGTCATTTTACAGTAAGTCTTAAAGTCAGGTAGTTAGTCCTATAACCTTGTTCTCCTTTAACATTCTGTTGGCTATTCTCGGTATTTTGTTTTTCCCTATTAACTTTAGGATAAGTTTGCTGATATCCACAAAATAACTTGATGAGATTTTGAGATTGTATTGAATCTATACATCAAATTGGGGAAAACTGACATCTTAACAATATTGAGTGATCCAAACCATAAATATGGACTAGTTCTTTGATTATAAATCTTGTATACACATTGTTAAATACATACTGAATTATTTCTTTTTTAGGGTGTTAATAAAAATATTTTCTGTTTTCAAGTAAAAAATGTACTTTCTCACTGCTGGTACTTTTCACCTCTGGTATATAGGAAAGTGATTAGCTTTGGTATATTAACCTTGTATCCAGCAACTTTGTTATATGCTTTTTAGTTGCAGAAGGGTTTTGTTTGTGGTTGTTCTTTCAAGCTTTTTCTTTCAAGTTTTCTACATAGATTATTAGACATCTTCAAACAAAGGAAGTTGTTTCTCCATAGATTATTAGACATATTGAAACAAAGGCAGTTTTATTAGTTTCCCTCCAATTTGTACACCTTTTCATTTTATTTTTTGGTCTTATTTCATTAGTTAATACTAACAGTATGATGTTAGAAAGGAGTAGGGAGAAGTGGTATTTTTTCCTTGTTTTTGATATTAGAAAATATCTCACCATTATAAATAATGCTAGCTGTAGGTATTTTGTGGATGTTCTTTATCAAGTTGAGGAAGTTTCTCTCTATTTCTCAATACAGAGAGTTTTTATTATGAATGTGTGTTGAGTTTTGTCAAATAAACTGCATCTATTGATGTGATCATGTGATTTTCGTTTTTTAGTCTGTTGATGTGCTGTATTACATTAATTGATTTTGGAAAGTTCAATGAATTCTGCATACCTGGGATAAATCCTACTTGGCTATAGTGTATAATTATTTTTACTCATTGTTGGATTCTATTTTCTAATATCTTCTTGAGGATAGTTGTATCTATGTTCATGAGAGATATTAGTTTGTAGTTTTTTTTCTTGTAATGTTTTTGTTTAATTATGACATTTGGGATGCTAGCCTCCTAGAGTAAGTTAGGAAGTATTTCCTATGCTTCTGTTCTCTGAAGAGATTTTAGATAATTGGTATAATATTTTTCTTGAGTTTTTGTTAGAATTCACCAGTGAAACTATTTGTTTCTGAAGCTTTCTATTTTGGAGCTTTGAATTATTGATTCAATTTCTGTAACACATATAATCCCATTCGATTGTTTATTTTTTCTTGCATGAGTTTTAGCAAATTGTACCTTTCAAGCAATTGTTTCATTTCATACTGAGTATCAAATTTGTGAGCATAGTTATTCCTAGTATTTCTTTATTATCCTTTTAATGTCCATAGGCTCCATGGTGATGCTCCCTCCTTTATTTCTAATATAAATAATTTGAGTCCTCATTCTGTTTTACTTAGTCTGGCTAGAGCCTTACTAACTTATTGATCTTTATTTAAAAAAACAGTTTTGGTTTCATTGATTATCTTTTTGGTTTTCTTTGCTCAACTTAATTGATTTCTGGTCTAATTATGATGAATCTTCTCCTTACTTTTGTTAAACTGAATAAACTGGAGGTTGTTAGCCTGAGGCTGTCTTTATACTGAGTTTCTGTATAACAAACCACAATGTAACTTAGTACATACACAAACCAAAACCTAAAGTTAGAAATATAACAGCTGAATTTCAGTCAATCACAAAGGGTCAACTCATCACACTATGTCCAAGTAAGGCAAATGGCTTATCTCACCATGCCCAAATAAGGCAGATAGCTTGCTGTAGTCAGATAATGTTTCTACTTTGTTTTGTGCTCCAGTTATAAAAACTCTCTGGTCTAATGCCTGTGTGGAGCTCTTTAAATCTCTTCTGGCTTTGAATTCTGCCTAATTTCTAATTGTTCTTTGCTTAAATAAATCCTGCTAAATTTAATTTGTCTAAAATTTTTCTTTTAGGACTTTGGATTTAATTTGCTCCTCTTTTTCAAATATCCTAAGGTGAAAACAAATTATTGATTTTAGATCTTTCTTCTTTTCTGATATATGCATTTGATACTATAAATTTCCCTCTAAGCATTGTTTTGGCTCTGATATAGTTTGGATATGTTTGTCTCCTCCAAGTCTCATGTTAATATTTTATCCCAGTGTTGGAGGTGGAACTAGTGGGAGCTGTTTTGGTCATGGAAGTGGATCTCTTATGGATGACTTAGTTCCATTCTTGTGGTCATGAGTGAGTTCTTGATCTAATGGTTCCCATGTTAAATTATTAAAAAGAGCCTGGCCCTTTGTCACCACTCTCTCTTGCTTCCTTCCGCTCACCATGTGATGCTTACTCCCTTTTCCCTTCTGCCATGAGTGGAAGCTTCCTGCATTCCTTACCAGAAGCAGATGCTGGTGCCATGAATTTTGTACAGCATGCAGAATAGTGAATTGAATAAACCTCTTTTCTTTATAAATTACCCGATCTCAGGTATTTCTTCGTAGTAAGGCAGAATGGACTAAAACTGGCTGCATCCTACAAAATTGATGTTTCATTTCCACTTTCATTCAGTTAAAAATATTTTTAAATTTATTTTGAGATTTCATCTTTGACCCATAGGCTACTTAGAAGCATGTTGTTTAATCTCTATGTATTTTGATTTCTAGTTTAATCTCATTGTGGTTTTATAACAGATGTTGTATTTCTGTTCCTTTAATTTTGTTGGGGTGTGTTTTATAGCCTACCTTGGTAAATGTTGTTTGTGAGTTCAAAAAAAAATGTGTACCTTCTTGTTATTGGACAGAGTAGTCTATATAGATTTAAATTACATCCAGCTAATTAATGGTGTTAGTGAGTTCAACTATGTCCTTACTGATTTTTCTGCCTAATGGATATTTCCATTTCCGAGAGAAGGGTATTAAAGTCTCCAACTATGTAAGTGGATTCATCTACTTTTGCTTGCACTTCTATTAGTTTTTGACTCACAAAGTTTGACACTCTGTTGTTAGCTGTATATATTTTAAAGATTGTTATGTCTTCTTGTAGAATTGACCCCATTATCTTTATATAATTTTGTTCTATGTTCCTGGTGACTCTCCTTGCTTGAAAATTTGTTCTGCTTGAAATTGAATTAACTACCTGTGCTTTGCTTTTACTAGTGTTAGCATGGTATATTTTCTCTATCTACTTGCTTTTACTCTATATGTCTTTATATTTAGCTGTTTCTTTGTAGACAACATTTAGGAGGTTTGTTTTTTGAATCACTCTGACAATCTCTGTCTTTTAACTTGTGCATTTAGACCACTAATATTCAATGTGATTATTGATATAGTTGGATTAATATTAACTATATTTGTTCCTGTTTTCTATTTTTTTGCCCTAATTTTTTCCTATTTTGTCTTCCACTCTTTTTCTGTACTTTGTGATTTCAACTGAGCATTTTAAGTGATTCTATTTTTTTCTCCTTTCTTAGCATATCAGCGATATAATTTTTCTACTTATTTTATTGGTTGTTCTGCAATAAATCTTTTAAGTTGTTGTAATTGCATATAATACCTGCTTGAACCACAACATGATGCTTGATTCATCCATTATTAGATTTAAATGGGTATTAGAGACAATATACATCAATACTGTCAATTTTGGTACTGAGAAATTAGACAGTACATATATATAAATAATATCAGAAAAATGGCTAAATGTAATTTCATGTGCTGTTTTCTAAATATGCTCAGTATAAATGTTACTTTCTTAGTTCTATAATGCTTTCTATATTACATTCTATGTTTAGAAACTTTTGCTTTCACTCTTTTGGCTAAAAATTTCAATTTAATATCTGCCTGAGACCAAAGATCGTTAATGCACCAGTATAAAATCATTTTGATTACAATGATATTGATAAAATATCCTATTCCATAAAGTAAAAAATGCTAATATGGTGCTTTCTAATTGATTTTCAGATTATTTATTAAATCATGGAATTATTAACTCAAATCCCGCTACTCTTTTTTTTTTTTTTTTTTTGAGGCGTAATCTCACACTGTTGCCCAGGCTGGAGTGCAATGGCGTGATCTTGGCTCACTGCAACCTCCTGGGTTCAAGTGATTCTCCTGCCTCAGCCTCCTGAGTAGCTCGGATTACAAGCGCGTACCACCACACCTGGCTAAATTTTGTATTTTTAGTAGAGACAGGGTTTCACCATGTTGATCAGGTTGGTTTCGAACTCCTGACCTCATGATCCTTCCGCCTCAGGCTCCCAAAGTGCTGGGATTACAGGCATGAGCCACTGCGCCCGGCCAATCCCACTATTCTTAACTGTAGCTGTTCTTTATTCAGTTCCTTAGCCCTTCTAGGTTATACATTTTGAAAATGGCATTTATTCATATTTATCCTTCAGATTACAATTTTAATGTTATTTCTCTAGGAAAAATTGCCTTAGTACCTAAAATGGTCAGAGTTTATACTTAGGCATTTTACCTTCATTTTTCTCATTAGCATTTGCCACTGTTTTAATATTAATAATATGTTTTATTTTTGTAATTGTAAAATACATGTCATGGCATGCACATCATGAAGTGTAAGCACACTGCAGCCTGTGGATGTATATAATTTGCTCACAGTTTTATCTCTAGAATCTAAAACAGTCTTGGTTCACTGAAGTTTTTTTTTTGTCCGTATTTACAGAGATAGAAAGAAAAAAATTGGGAAGGTAAATGTGTCAATGTTGTCATCACATAAGGAGTCAAGCGAGCCAGTGCACCCTGTGGGCTTAGGTATTCAATAGATGTAAATTTTTAAATAGGAGAAAACAAAAATTTCTTCAGTATTCTTTGCTTTACAAATTATTTCATATAATTGATTATTTTCTGATGTATCACTATAGGTCAAATTGCATTCTCCCCAAATTCACATATTTGGATTCTAACCCTCAGTAACTTGAAATGTGACTGTATTTGGACACAAGTTCCTTAAAGATGTAATTAAGTTAAAATGAAGGATTTAAGGTGGACTCTAATCCAATATGACAGGTGTCCATCTAAGAGAAGAAAATTTGGATGCATGGAGAGGCTACACCAACATGAGCTTGTATAAAGGAAAAAGCTATGAGAGGATAACCTAAGAAGATGGCCATCTATCCGCAAGCCAAGAAGAAAAGTCTTAGAAGTAATCAAACCTGGAAGCACCTTGATTCTGGACGTCTAACTTCTAAAATTGTAAAAAAATAAATTTTTGTTGTTTAGGCCACACAGTCTATGGTACTTTGTTGTGGCAGCCCAAGCAGAAAAAGACACTGACCCAATGCACTTTATTTCTCAGTACAATAGCTGTTCTAATTATAATTTTTTTATGGGCCACATAAACAAAATCTAATGCAGAAAAAAAATCAGATTTGAATGGGACCTCAAAGAATAATTACTGAAAAAAACTATCTTGTATACTTAAAATATTTTACTTTATTTTCTGTTTTATTTTGTGTTTTAGAGTAACTGTGTGTGTACATATCCGTTATTTGAGGAAGGAGATAAATGGTTTTGGAAAAGGAGTATTTTAATGCCAAATAAAATAAATTATCATGTGTGTTTGTAGCTAAAATACTTAAATTTTAATACACCTTGGGTCAGGCGTAGTGGCCCACACCTGTAATTGCAGCAATTTGGGAGGCCAAGGCAGGTGGATTGCTTGAACCCAGGAGTTCCAGATATGTCATGGCAACATGGCAAAATCTCGTCTCTACAAAAAATACAAAAATTAGCCGAGTGTATTGGCACATGCTTGTAGTACCAGCTACTCTGGAGGCTGGGGTGGCAGGATCACTTGGGAAGTTGAGGCCGCAGTGAGCAGTGATTGAGTTGCTGCACTCCAGCCTGGGCAACAGAACAAGACCTTACATGTAAATAAATAAATAAATCATTTCATTCTTAGTGGGCACCATTGGTTAACTGTCAAAATCAATCTAACTTTCATAAGCAAAGAAAAAATACAAATGAAATAAGTAATTAATATTTTGTATGTCTTCCACCTCTAATTCTATAATTGGTCAGATTATTATTTTATTAGATTTCATATTAGTGGAACTTTCAGAACTTTGTTTTGAAATATACATATGTTTACCAATAAAAAATAAAAAGTCAATTTTGACATCCCAATTTTCTTGCAAAACCAGTTAATTAATATTAGCATGACTCTTACTAATGGCTTAAAATAATGTAGAAATCCTATGATGCTAAGAATTCATTTTTAAATAACTCTTTTTACAAAATAAATGTTAAGGTAACAATCTCAATTCTTTAACTTTGATTTATAAGGCCTGTATTAACTTTTAAAATAACATTACATATCTCTATCACGCAAAGTTGTCAGAGGAATATAGTAAAAAAATCAAATAGAAGTTCAGAAGACTTACTAGACTTTTCTGGGACACAGAAATGTTAAAGAAATCAGATATGCCAAAGGGACACATCACACTTTAAAACAAATTCTATTTATGGAAAGTAACCTATATACCATTTGTTATTTGCTAATTTCTCACAAAACTCTAGCATCTCAATGTACTCTCAGAAAATATATATTAACACAGGATTTTAGTTACATATTTAAATCTCAAAATTCTATTTCATAGTATACTAGCAGCTAGTCATTAACATAATGTGAAGTATCTCATATATCATTTAAACCGTAGTTGTCTAAATAAGTAAAAAAAATACATTTATGTCTCATTTTCCTTAATTTTTTATTATGTGTGTAATTGCTTGCTTACTAATCTACATAATCCAGTATATCAGAGTCCCTGTCACTTTAGTGAATTAATCTGCATTATTTCAACTTGACTGATTAAACTAAAAGAATAGCATCAAGAATTTTAGGCTGTCATTTAAATATCATTTAAAAATGCACGTAGAAAATACTCAAAACATATAAATTCAAAAACCTCAGGAAGTACTAAAGAAAAATTATAGAGACAATATTAAAATTGATTTCCTAGCACTAAGATAATTCTACAGCAATGAATTTAGGTAAACAGCTGGAAAAGAGAACATCAAATTTGACTAAAAATATATTAATGGGAAAAACAGTAAATTCACCTGTTCCTTCTGTAGAATAACCACAAAATGCAGAAATAGTCTAGATTCAAAAATACAAATAGGTTTTTTATAAAAAGATTTTAGCCTCTTACTTAAAGTAGAGAACCAAAAAAGAGGTCTGGAATTTATTTCCAGTTCTGTAACTTACTCAATGTGTGACCTTAAGTTGATACTTTTAGCCTATTCTTTTTTTCTTCATTATTATACTTTAAGTTCTGGGATACAGGTGCAAAACGTTCAGGTTTGTTACACAGGTATACACGTGCCATGGTGGTTTGCTGCACCCATCAACCTGTCATCTACATTGGGTATTACTCCTAATGCTATCCCTCCCCTAGACCCCACCCCCCAACAGGCCCCAGTGTGTGATGTTCCCCTCCCTGTGTCCATGTGTTCTCATTGTTCAACTCCCACTTATGAGTGAGAACATGTGCTGTTTGGTTTTCTGTTCCTGTGTTAGTTTGCTGAGAATGATGGTTTCCAGCTTCATCCATGTCCTTGCAAAGGACATGAACTAATTCTTTTTTATGACTGCATAGTGTTCCATGGTGCATATGTGCCAAATTTTCTTTATCCAGTCTATCATTGATGGGCATTTGGGTTTTAGTTCCAAGTCTTTGCTATTGTGAATAGTGCTGAATAGTGAGTAGTGCTGCAATAAATACACATGTGCATGTGTCTTTATAGTACAGTGATTTATAATCATTTGGGTTAATGGGATTGTTGGGTCAAATGGTATTTCTGGTTCTAGAGCCTTGAGGAATAGCCACACTGTCTTCCACAATGGTTGAACTCGTTTACAGTCCCACCAACAGTGTAAAAGCATTCCTATTCTCCACATGCTCTCCAGCATCTGTTGTTTCCTGACTTTTTAATGATCACCATTCTAACTGGTGTGAGATGGTATCTCATTGTGGTTTTGATTTGCTTTTCTCTAATGACCATTGACGATGAGCTATTTATCATATGCTTGTTGGCTGCATAAATGTTTTATTTGAGAAATGTCTGTTCATATCCTTTGCCCACTTTTTGATGTTTTTTTTTCTTTTAAAATTTTTTAAGTTCCTCATAGATTCTGGGTATTAGACCTTTGTCAGATCGATAGATTGCAAAAATTTTCTCCCATTCTGTAGGTTGCCTGTTCACTCTGATGATAGTTTCTTTTTCTGTGCAGAAGCTCTTTCGTTTAATTAGATCCCATTTGTCAATTTTGACTTTTGTTGCCGTTGCTTTTGGTGTTTTAGTCATGAAGTCTTCGGCCATGCCTGTGTCCTGAATGGTATTGCCTAGGTTTTCTTCTAGAGTTTTTATGCTTTTAGGTCTTACATTTAAGTCTTTAATCCATCTTGACTTAATTTTTGTATAAGGTGTAAGGAAGGGGTCCAGTTTCAGTTTTCCGGTTATGGCTAGCCAGTTTTCCCAACAGAATTTATTAAACAGGGAATCCTTTCCCCATTGCTTGTTTTCATCAAGTTTGTCAAAGATCAAATGGTTGTAGATGTTTGGCATTATTTCTGAGGCCTCGGTTCTGTTCCATTGGTCTATATATTTGTTTTGGTACCAGTACCATGCTGTTTTGGTTACTGTAGCCTTGTATTATAGTTTGAAGTCAGGTAGTGTGATGCCTCCAGCTTTGTTCTTTTTGCTTAGGATTGTCTTGGCTCTACAGGCTCTTTTTGTGGTTCAACATAAAATTTGAAGTAGTTTTTTTCTGATTCTGTGAAGAAAGTCAATGGTAGCTTGATGGGGATAGCATTGAATCTATAAATTACTTTGGGCAGTATGGCCATTTTCACGATATTGATTCTTCCTATCCATGAACATGGAATGTTTTTCCATTTGTTTGTGTCCTCCCTTATTTCCTTGAGCAGTGGTTTGTAGTTCTCTTTGTAGATGTCCTTCACATCCCTGGGAAGTTGTATTCCTAGGTATTTTATTCATTTTGTAGCAATTATGAATGGCAGTTCACTCATGATTTAGCTCTCTGCTTGTCTATTATTGGTGTATAGGAATGCTTGTGATTTTTGCACATTGATTTTGTATCCTGAGACTTTCCTGAAGTTGCTTATCAGCTTAAGGAGATTTTAGGCTGAGATAATGGGGTTTTCTAAATATACAATCATGTAATCTGCAAACAGAAACAATTTGACTTCCTCTCTTTCTATTTGAATACCGTTTATTTCTTTCTCTTGCCTGATTGCCCTGGCCAGAATTTCCAATACTATGTTGAATAGGAGTGGTGAGAGAGGGCATCCTTGTCTTGTGCTGGTTTTCAGAGGGAATGGTTCCACCTTTTGCCCATTCAGTATGATATTGGCTCTGGGTTTTTCATAAATAGCTCTTATTATTTTGAGATAAATTCCATCAATACCTAGTTTATTTTTAGCATGAAAGGCTGTTTAATTTTTTTGAAGGCCTTTTCTGCATCTATTGAGATAATCATGTGGTTTTTGTCGTTGGTTCTGTTTATTGATGGATTACATTTTTTGATTTGCATATGTTGAACCAGCCTTCCATCCCAGGGATGAAGCCCACTTGATCGTGGTAGGTAAGCGTTTTGATGTGCTGCTGGATTTGGTTTGCCATTATTTTATTGAGGATTTTTGCATCAATGTTCTTCAGGGATATTAGCCTGAAATTTTCTTTTTTTGTTGTGTCTCTGCCAGGTTTTGGTATCAGGATGATGCTGGACTCATAAAATGAATTAGGGAGGAGTCCCTCTTTTTCTATTGTTTGGAATAGTTTCAGAAGGAATGGTACCAACTCCTGTTTGTACCACTGGTAGAATTTGGCTGTGAATCTGTCTGGTCTTGGGTTTTTTTGGTTGGTAGGGTATTACTACCTCAATTTCACAACTTTTTATTGGTCTATTCAGGGATTCGACTTTTTACTGGTTTAGTGTTGGGAGGGTGTTATGTGTCCAGGAATTTTTCCTCTTCTTCCGGATTTTCTAGTTTATTTGTGTAGAGGTGTTTTTAGTATTCTCTGATGGTAGTTTGTTAATCTTTTCAAAAAACCAGCTCCTGGATTCATTGATTTTTTGAAGTTCTTTTTTCATGTCTCTATCTCCTTCAGTTCTGCTCTGATCTTAGTTATTTCTCGCCTTCTGCTTGCTTTTGAATTTGTTTGCTCTTGCTTCTCTAGTTATTTTAATTGTGATGTTAGGATGTTGATTTTGGATCTTTCCCACTTTCTCTTGTGGGCATTTAGTGCTATAAATTTCCCTCTAAACACTGCTTTAGCTGTGTCCAGGCGATTCTGGTACATTGTGTCTTTGTTCTCATTGGTTTCAAAGAACTTATTTATTTCTGCCTTAATTTTGTTATTTACCCAGTAGTCATTCAGGAGCAGGTTGTTCAGTTTCTACTTAATTGTGCAGTTTTGAATGAGTTTCTTAATCCTGAGTTCTAATTTGATTGCACTGGGGTCTGAGAGTGTTTGCTATGATTTCCATTCTTTTTCATTTGCTGAGGAGTGTTTTACTTCCAATTATGTGGTCAATTTCAGAATAAGTGCAATGTGATGCTGAGAAAAACGTATATTCTGTTGATTTGGCGTGGAGAGTTCTTTAGATGTCTATTAGGTCCACCTGGTCCAGAGCTGAGTTCAAGTCCTGGATATCCTTGTTAATTTTCTGTCTTGTTGATCTGTCTAATATTGACAGTGGGGTATTAAAATTTCCTACTATTATTATGTGGGATTCTAAGTCTATTTGTAGGTCTCTAAGAACTTGCTTTATGAATCTGGGTGCTCCTGTATTGGGTGCATGTGTATTTAGGATAGTTAGGTCTTCTTGTTGCATTGATCACTTTACCATTATGTAATGCCCTTCTTTGTCTTTTTTGATGTCTGTTGGTTTAAAGTCTGTTTTATCAGAGACTAGGATTGCAACCACTCCTTGCTTTTTTTTTTTTTTTTTTTTTTTTTTTTTTTTTTTTTGCTTTCCATTTGCTTGGTAAATCCTCCTCCATCCCTTTATTTTTAGCCTATGTGTGTCTTTGCACATGAGATGGATCTCCAGAATACAGCACAACAATGGGTCTTGACCCTTTATCCAATTTGCCAGTCTGTATCTTTTAATTGGGTCATTTAGCCTATTTACATTTAAAGTTAGGATTGTTTTGTGTGAATTTGATCCTGTCATTATGATGCTAGCTGGTTATTTTGCCCATTAGTTGATTCAGTTTCTTCATAGTGTCGATGGTGTTTACAATTCGGTATGTTTTTGCAGTGGCTGCTACCGGTTTTTCCTTTCCATATTTAGTGCTTCTTTATGAGCTCTTGTAAAGCAGGGCTGGTGGTGACAAAATCTCTCAGAATTTGCTTATCTGTAAAGGATTTTATTTCTCATTCACTTATGAAGCTTAGTTTGACTGGATAAGAAATTCTGGGTTGAAAATTATTTTCTTTAAGAATGCTGAATATTGGCCCCCACTCTCTTCTGGCTTGTAGGATTTCTGTAGAAAGATCCACTGTTAGTCTGATGGTCTTCCCTTTATGGGAACCTTTCTCTCTGGCTGCCCTTAACATTTTTTCCTTAATTTCAACATTGGTGAACCTGACTATTATGTGTCTTGGGGTTGCTCTTCTTGAGGAGTATCTTTGTGGTGTTCTCTGTATTTCCTGAATTTGAATGTTGGCCTGTCTTGCTAGTTTGGGGAAGTTCTCCTGGTTAATATCCTGAAGAGTGTTTTCCAACTTGGTTCCATTCTCCCCGTCACTTTCAGGTACACCAATCAAACGTAGTGTTTGGTCTTTTCACATAGTCCCATATTTCTTGGAGGCTTTGTTTGTTCCTTTTCATTCTTTTTTTCTCTAATATTGTCTTCATTCTTTATTTCATTAAGTTGATCTTCGATCTCTGATATCCTTTCTTCTGCTTGAATGATTCAGCTATTGATACTTGTGTATTCTTCAAGAAGTTCTCATACTGGGTTTTTCAGCTCCATCAGGTCATTTATGTTCTACTCTAAACTCGTTATTCTAGTTAGCCTTCCCTCTAACTTTTTTCAAGCTTCTTAGCTTCCTTGCATTGGGTTAGAACATGCTCCTTTAGCTTGGAGGAGTTTCTTATTACCCAGCTTCTGAAGCACACTTCTGTCAATTCATCAAACTCATTCTCCATCCAATTTTGTTCCCTTGCTGTAGAGGAGTTCTGATCCTTTGGAGGAGAAGAGGCTTTCTTGTTTTTGGAATTTTCAGCCTTTTTGTGCTGGATTTTCCTTATCTTCATGGATTTATCTACCTTTGGTCTTTGATGTTGGTGACTTTTGGATGGGGTTTGTCTGTGGATGTCCTTTGTTGATGCTATTCCTTTCTGTTTGTTAGTTTTCCATCTAACAGTCAGGACCCTCTGCTGCAGGTCTGCTGGAGTTTGCTGGGGGTCCACTCCAGACCCTCTTTGCCTGGGTATCACCAGCAGAGGCTGCAAAACAGCAAAGATTGCTGCCTGGTCCTTCCTTTGGAAGCTTTGTTCCAGAGGGGCACCTGCCAGATGCCAGCCAGAGCTCTCCTGTATGAGGTGTCTATTGATCCCTGCTGGTAGGTGTCTTCCAGTCAGGAGACATGGGCACCAGGGACCCACTTGAGGAGGCAGTCTGTCCCTTAGCAGAGGTCTAGTGCTGTGCTGGGAGATCCACTGTTCTCTTCAGAGTTGGCAGGCTGGAACGTTTAAGTCTGCTGAAGCTGCGTCCACAGCTGCCCCTTCCCTCAGGTGCTCTGTCCTAGGGAGATGGGAGTTTTATTTATAATGCCCTGACTGGGGCTGCTGCCTTTCTTTCAGAGATGCCATACCCAGAGAGGATGAATCTAGAGAGGCAGTCTGGCTACAGCGGTTTACTGAGCTGCAGTGTGCTCTGCCCAGTTTGAACTTCCCAGAGGCTTTGTTTACACTGTGAGGGGAAAACCACCTACTCAAGCCTCAATAATGGTGGACACCCCTCCCCACACAAAGCTTGAGCATCCCAAGTGGACTTCAGACTGCTGTGCTGGCAGCAAGAATTTCAAGCCAGTAGATCTTAGCTTGTGGGGTTGGGATCCACTGAGCCAGACCACTTGG
Organism: Homo sapiens; assembly: GCF_000001405.40. NCBI lineage: Eukaryota > Metazoa > Chordata > Mammalia > Primates > Hominidae > Homo > Homo sapiens. The sequence goes on from NC_000013.11 coordinate 68,795,840, forward strand.
CTCCCTGGCTTTGGCCTCCTTTCCAGGGGAGTGTGTGGTTCTGTCTCGCTGGCATTCCAGGCACCACTGGTGTATGAAAAAAAACTCATGCAGCTAGCTCAGTGTCTGCCCAAACAGGAGCCCAGTTTTGTGCTTGAAACCCAGGGCCCTGGTGGCGTAGGCACCCAAGGGAATCTCCTGTTCTGCGGGTTCTGAAGACCATGGGAAAAGCATAGTATCTGGGCCGGAATGCACTGTTCTTCATGGCACAGTCCCTCATGGCTTCCTTTGGCTAGAGGAAGGAGTTCCCTGACCCCTTTCACTTCCTGGGTGAGGTGCCCTGAAGCAGGGTGAAGCACCCTGCTTCAGCTCGGCCTCCGTGAGCTGCACCCACTGTCTAACCAGTCCCAGTGAGATGAACCGGGTACCTCCGTTGGAAATGCAGAAATCAGATGCCTTCTGGGTTGATTTTGCTGGGAGCTACAGACTGTGCTGTTCCTATTCAGACAGCTTGCCAGCCACCCAACTTATTCTTTAAAGAAAAGCATGCCTTATCTTTTACTTCTCGACGTGATCTTTTGTCACATGAGATTCTTTGATGTTATATTTAACTTTAGCATCTATTGTAGGATCAGTCTCAATGCTTTCAGTCAACTTGAATCTTATCTGTATATAACTTATTCAATAAAAGACTTAGTTTAAGTATTCTCTACCATGAAATTTGTTCCTAGAAGTTGTGAATGAGTCATTTTTATGACTGCTCTAAGGCAAGCAGTCTATGACTGAACACATTTCAGCCTATTATATTCTATATGAAAGATAGTAATCTCAAGAATAAGAGATTGTTTAGACTGTATAGGTCTCCATATGAATTTAACACTCTTATTCAGTATGGTAATAGTCCATTTCCTTTTTTGTTTAAATATAGATTAATAAAGTAAAATTTTCAGACTATGACATTTATCTCAGGGCTAGAAATGGTTCGAACCACTGAAAAATGACAATTTTCTATTTCATAAATATCCTACCTTGGCATAATCTAAAATTCAAGTCAATAACTCTAATACATTTAAGTTGTTAATACACTGTGCTGAGGAAGGGATTCTAGTAGAAACCATATTAAAGATTTAAAAAATTAACTGGAACACAAGTGATGAATATGATAAATGAGAAAAGTAATTATAAAAATATTTTCAAGATTTGGGCCCTTAAACTTCCCCAAACCTGGACAACTGGAGTAGAATACAAGGTATAAGGTTTCTTTCTTTATATTACAGAAGGTATAAAAATATGATAATAAATTTAAATATTGTTTGGTGTTCAGATCAAAATCAAAACTGAGTTTACTAATGGAATTTCAAACCCCTGCATATTTGGAACTTAATCTAAAATTGATAGAATACTTTTTGTAGGGATGATTTACAATATCTATGTTTTAAGTCACTATTTTTTTAAGTAGACATGAACATTTGGGGTTTCTAGAAAACTAAGTCAAAAGTCTGTGCTGATTTTAGAAATATCATTAAGAGACTTAGCTTACACAAGAACAACTGGATGAGAAAACCATTATTTTTTTCATAATCAAGTGAATACAATTATTGCAAGAATGGCCTTTCCTCTGCTTCTTATAGAGGACTTTTCTCTACTTCCCCTTTTTAAAGGGAAGAGTCTTAATTTGTCCTCTGAATTCCATCACCTTTCACTTACGTCAGTGTGTAGTATCTACAAGATTCCTCCTTTTTCCCTTGCAACTTTATCTTCAGTCTATTATATTATTTTCATGACCTTATGAATATGCTCTTGGCCATTTTATTAAATCAAGTGAAACACAGCCCAAACCAATGAAATCAAACCAACACAAATCCAAAGCACAAATACACAAATAAAATCTTTCTCATCCCATAAACTATGTCCCAGTAAAATTCTGATAAAAGTTATAGGTATCTAGTGTCTTTACTTAGTTATCATTGATTATTACTTTGCAAACTCAAACTAGATTTATGTCTTCAGTCCTTCACTGAAAGTGTTTTTAATCATGTCCTTCCTGATTCCTCTTCTACCAAGTCCTACTCGTTGAAATTACCTATAAATCGTAGATTCAAATGGTCAATTTTTACCTTAAAAACAATGCTACTAGGATTATTATGGGATGGCACTGCATCTACAGGTCAATTTGGAAATAATTTAAAAATCTTTAAATATTTTGGATTTTCCAACAGATAAACATAACAGAACTTTTCATTTATTTATTTCAAATTAGCTTATGTTTAGTATCAATATTATATTTAGTATCACTATAAAAGGTAAATATTTTTACCTTTTACTTTCCAATTGTTTGCTGGTTTTATATAAAATTAACAATTTTTTAGTAATAAATTTGATTCCTCTGATCGTTTACACATTACTTTAGTAGTTTTTGTGTGGAACCTATGGTTTCTATATAAACAACTATGCCATGTGTGACTATATATGTAATACATTTTTTCCTTCACCAGCTTTATGCTTTCATTCATTTTTCTAAGATATTCAGGCATTGATGTACCCTTGCTTTCTTATTACTATTAAGGTAAATATATTTCAAAGTTTATTATTAAGTTTCATGCTTAATGGGTTCTCTATCAGTTGCGGTTTCTTTTGAATCTTAGTTTGCTACAAATTTTAATCACGAAGGTTTATTTGAACTTGTAAACTATTTCTGGATCTATTTAAATGATCCTAATGATTCGCTCCTTTATTCCATTATACTGAATAATTTTGGATGTAAAATCAACTTTGCATTTGTAAAATAAATAACAATTGCTTATATTTACATATTCCTGAATTAGATTTGCCAACAAATTATTGTATGTTCTTGAGAGATTGTCAAAACTTGTGCTGGTTCTGAGATTTTACACCACAGGTACTTGCAGGCTAACAAGTAGCTGATCTTAGCTTCATCAATACTAGCAGAAGGCAAAGACGCCTAGGCCCAGCATAATGTACTTTTAATCATAGCCAGAGTTTTATGTTCATTGGTATCAGCTCTCCATGTCCTCTGCATAGAGGTCAGCATCAATGTTTGCACATACAGTGGGTTGTGTTCATTATAGGTAAATGGAGTTTGGAGTATTCACTGTTTTATATCAAATGAAAGCTAGTCTGCTGTCTGATCTGGGTGTTATATAACTCATCTCTCAGGTTATTCCCTGCAAACAACGAGAGATGGTCTTGGTAAAGACTGTTCAGAGCTTTACATTTTGGGCATGAGCAGTAAAAACATGTATGAATGCTCAGGGCCAATGGAAGATTGCCTGTTGCAACAGGGACTTTGTCTATAATAGTATGTATCATTATTATTATTGTAATGTTATTGCTTGGTTTTGATATCAAGATCACTGTGGCCTCATAAAATAAGTTGGGTAGCATTTTCTACTTCTGTATTTTTAAAATAGTCTGTGAAATATTGCATTTTCACTTCTTTAAATGTCTGATAAATGTAATCGAGTAATTATGGGAGTATCAGATTATGTAATTCATATTGTTAGTGTTTGTATATTTTACCTTTAAGAAATAAGATTTAAACTTCTTACTTTGGTTTCTACATTGTTTATTAATTTCCAAACATATTGAATTTCCAAGGTGTCATTGTACTTTCATTTAATTCCAATTGTTGTAAAAAATGTACTTTATTATTCAATATTTTAAAAAGCTTGAGAGTATTTTATGGCCTAAAATTGTGTCCACCTTATTGACTCTATCTCATATCTTCAAAATACTGTAGTTTTTTTCCCTATATTTGCTAGATATTATGTCTATAAATATGAATTATACAAACTGGTTCATAATATTTTTCATTTGTTAATACGATTAGAATCATCTATGTCATTTTTTAAAGTTGCCTGTCAATTGCTAAGATAGAGATGTTATTTCTACAATATGATTGAAAATGTTTTTATATCCTTTGGTTATAATAGTTTTACTTTAGATATTTTGAAGGTCTGTTACATTTATACACATTTATGACTCTCATTTCATACTGAAGAATTTTCACTTCTATCTTTCTGCCATATTTCTCATTATCTCTGAAATAGTCTTCTAACTGCTGTACACTATACCTACTAGAGCCTACACTTATTCTTTTTTATGTAATATTAATATAGCAACTTTAGCCTTCCTATATTCATGAATTGCTAGGTATGTCATTTTACAGGAATTTGTTTTCAAACTACTTTCTGTAATATTTAAAATATGTCGCTTGAAGATTGACTATATTTATTTTACCTTTCAGACTATTGTAATAATTTCTATTTTTTAGTTATATTTTGTCTGCTAACAGTTAATCATCAATGTAGTTGGGTTTATTATTTTATTTTTCATTTTCTATTTGTGCCTCATTTTTATTTCTGTGCTACTCCTTTCCTATGTTTTTGGAAACATACTAGTTGAATTTCTTTTGTAAATATAGTTATATATAATTATATATAAATATAAATATATAGTTATATATAATTTATATATTTTATATATACATATATATATTTATTTATTTTTCTTTTTTTGAGACAGAGTCTTGCTCTGTCATCCAGCCTGGAGAGCAGTGGTGCCATCTTGGCTCACTGCAACCTCTGCCCCCCGGGTTCAAGCAATTCTTCTGCCTCAGCCTCTCCAGTAGCTGGGATTACAGGCGTACACCACCACACCTGGCTAATTTTTGTATTTTTATTAGAGGCGGGGTTTTGCCATGTTGGCCAGGCTGGTCTCAAACTCCTGACATCAGGTGATCCACCCACCTCAGCCTCCCAAAGTGCTGGGATTACAGGTGTGAGCCACTGCACCTGGCCTATAAGTTTTCTGTTAACTCTTTGAATTATTTTCATTGTATATATTTAAGGATATGATATATTGACCTACTTATACATCGTGAAATAATAACTATAGTCAAGAAAATTAACGTATTCAATTGTTATCTTATTTGTTATAAATCTACACCTAAAATCTACTCTTTTAGCAAAAGTCCCAAATACAGTACAATATTATTAGGCATAGTCTTCAGGTGGTATATAAGATTTCTAGACTTATTCATCCTGCGTATCTGCAACCTTGTATTATTTGATATATATCTCTCCCTGCCCCACCACACCACCAGTAACCACCATTTTATCCTCAATCTCTTTTTAGATAAACTGTTTTGAATGTTACTAGAGTTTGCCTTAGCGATTATTATACACATAATTCATTTTTCACAGTCTACAATAGACAGTATTTTACTACTTTCTATAAAAATATAGAAACTTTGTATAGGTCTTATTACTCTCCACCTTTTGTGTTGTAGATATGTATTACGTATATATGCATAATAATCCACGTGAGACAATGTTATAAATTTTTATTTTAAATTAAGTATTTTGGGAATTCAAAGTGTCTCAAAATAATAATTTTTATCTAAAAATATATTTTGAATTTTTCCATTCTGCATTCTTCCCTGATGATCTGAATTTCCTTGTAGTGTCCTTTTTTTTAGATTTTTTTGTAGCGTAGGCTAGCACAACACAATATTGTTAGACTTTGATTATTTTTTTATTTGCTTAATTTTATTTTTTCTTCTGTTTTAATCACTATCCACTTACAAGATTTCCCTCAGCATCTGCTCACATGCGATCAGTCTCCAGGCCCTTCATGTAGTAGGATTTTTTTTTTTGTCTGCATTTTATAGTTTTATGTTTGTTTTATCTGCGTAGTTCAGTTGAAGAGGAGACTACCCAGACACTCATAACTACTATGTCTCAACTTTATTTCTAAGGATATATATTTTTTTTTTACTGAGGATAAAGTTGATATTTGAAGTGTTTCATTTGTTTTATTTTGCCTTACACATTAAATATATTGTTCCATTTTCTTCTGGATTTATATATTTCTCAAGAAAAGTTATCATTTACTTAATGCGTTGTTCTGTTCCACTGTGCATAATACGTATTTTTATGTTGAATATTTCAAGATTTTCTCTAAGCTTTGGTTTTAAGATTTTTTTATTATAGTGTGCATAGATGTGATTTTCTTCACATTTTAAAAATCATGATATTTAAACAATTTGTTGTGTAAACTAATCCTTACTCTTGAAGCCTCAATTGTAGATCTAAATAATTGAAGAAGGTGATCTCTATGAACTCACAAAAGATAAAATCAACTAAGAAAGAGAAAAATGAACAGAGACTGTACATTATTCTCTGACTTGGCTGAATATCTAAAATTTGGAAAACAAATAGGAGTCTCAGTGACACAGTTTTGATGTTTGTCCCTTCTCAAATCTCATATTGAATTATAATCCCCAATGCTGGAGGTGGGTCCTGGTAGGAGGTGTTTGAGGCATGGGGGCAGATCCTTCATGGCTTGGTGCTGTCTTCAAAACAGTAAGTTCTCATGAGATGTTAGTTATTCAAATGTGTGCGGCACCCTCCCACTCTCTCTCTCCCTCGCCCCTGTTTTCAGCATGTGAAGTGCCTGCTCCTGCTTTGATTTCTGCCATGACTGAAAGCTCCCCAAGACTTCACTAGAAGCTGAGCATATGCCAGCAGCATGCTTGCTGTAAAGCCTGCAGAACTCTGAGCCAACTAAACCTCTTTTTAAAAAATAAAATTCCCAGTCTCAGGTATTTCTTCATAGCAAGGCAAGAACAGCCTAATATAAGAGAAAGACATTTTTTAACCTGGTTGTAAAATATAATAATTCCTCTGGAGCTATTAATTCTGTGTATTTCTCAACTAACATTTCAGCTCTCATAGCTGAAACTTATTTTGCTTCCTGGACCACAATGTCTAAATGTTAAGACTTATACTCATCAACTAGCATTATCTTCTACATTTACTGTTTCTAATGATTATATATACTTTGTCACACATGTAATTTTACCACCCCTTCCCACTAAACATGTTCTTGGTTGATTACCAGATACGTGAATATCCTAAAATAATAAGCTAGACCAGTGATTTGACATCAATGATGTGACAGAAAAAAATTCCAAAATATTTTAATATTGGTTATTAAAGTTTTTATTTAAAATGTTTTATTGTATTTTTGAATAGATTTCTCTAGGCTACAATTAATAAATTATGTATAGAGGGTAAATATTAAATATTTATATTCATGAATCTTATTAGTATATATTTAGCTTAGCTCTAAATTTCCTTTACCAAATAATTGGAAGATTATCAAAAGATATAAAATGTAAGTGTGCAAAAGAAGAATTTAAGAGAGGCCAATATATATAAAAGCAAATCCAAGCTCACTGATAGCAGAGAAGTGCACATAGAGCAAAAAAAAGCAATATTCTTGTTTCGACCTTAAGTCTTCTCACCGCAAAAAATGGTAAGTATGAGAGGTAAGTTAAATACCTCAATTTTGCTATCGCACAATGTATACATATTTCAAAACATCATGTTGTGCAGGATAAATATATACATTATTTCAATTAAAAATAAATAAATAAAAATGGAAGTAAATTAAGAAGATTTTCATTATAATGAAAAGAATGTGGCTGGGCGCAGTGGCTCATGCCTGTAATCCCAGCACTTTGGGAGGCTGAGGCGGGTGGAGCACCTGAGGTCAGGAGTTCGAGACCAGCCTGACCAACAGGCAGAAAATTAGCCAAGCATGGTGGTGCATTCCTGTAATCCCAGCTACTCGGGAGGCTGAGCCAGGAGAATTACTTGGACCCGGGAGGCAGAGGCTGTGGTGAGCCGAGATTGTGCCATTGCAATCCAGCCTGGACAACAAGAGTGAAACTCCATCCTCCCTCAAAAAATATATATATATATATTTACTATATTTTGATTAATTATGGTACAGTTAAATGATATGTTACAATTAAGAAGATAGCTATATTTGATTGTAGAAAATAAAACATTCTCAGGCAGACCAGGCAACTGTATACAGAAAAATAATTTGTGGCCAATCAATTAAGCAATAATATGTTATAATATAGATGATATGAATGTTTTTGACACATCATTGCTTTATAAATGGATATATGTAAAAATTATATATATATGCAATAAATATATACATATTAAATACATATATATCTTTTTGAAGGTATACAAAAACTTTGAATAAATGCATATGTAATATATATATACATAGTTTTTCAGAATATATCCCCGCATAACTGTATAGTCAAATTAGTGTTAAAACCAAAACTATAATGAAAAGAGCATATATTTTGATTAATTACTGTACAATTAAATGATAGATTATACTGAGCTTTCAAAAATAACAGTTTTAAAGAATCCATACTATCACAAATCTGTACTCATAATATATAGATAAGTAATTTAAAAACTGATTGTAATATGTAATAAAATAGTAGTAGTTATGGATGTGTAGTGAATATTTAAAATTTATTTCTGAGTTTTGGATAATTAACATGCTTTACTTATTATCAAAGTAAATAAGGTAATATTTAAAATTAGACATTGGGCAGGTGCAATTACATAGGTAATTTAATCTCAGCTAATAATAAAATAAGTAATTAGAAAGACTAGCCTAGAAATAAAAAGTGAAATATTGTAAAACATATATATCAATGTATTATTTCCCCAAGTTATGTTACACCATGTGTATTTATTTTTGCATTATGAATGTATTAGGGGAAAATGCAAGCATTAAATTATTTTATGTATAATTTAATGTTAATTCAAAAATATTTATTAACCATCATAATTAGTAACTTCTGAATTAGCCCCAGAAAACAATAAAACTTATAGAACTCACTTTATTTAGTGCCAAGAAAATCATCTCCCAGGTGCATGTGGAAAAGATGCAGAATTTGTATAACAATATCTACAATTCATTTAATTAATCGGTACTTACTATATCTCATATGCTAGTTATTGATTATACAGTAGTAGAAAAAGATCTAGAGTCTCAGCTTTTTAGAAGCTTAATTTGTAAATGGAGATTCAGATCAGAAAACCCCAGTAAATATACTTAAAATATTTCATATTTTAAAAGATGCTATAAAATAATTAATTAATACAAGGACATAAAAATAATATACATAGATGGAATGAAGTGAGGACATGATATATGATAGGATAGTGAAGAATAGCTCCTTTGAGGATTTGATAGTTGTTGAAAATAAGATGCAAATACTTGTTTTACTTTTCTAACTAAAAACAGCAAAAAACTATATCATAGAGATAGTAAAACAAAGTAAAGTTGTCTGGCAGAGCTGTCTACCACATTAATAAATAATTTATAAGTATTATGAGAATGTATCACCTTAAGTACTGCCAATTGGTAAGAAAAGTCAAATTCAACAATTTTTTTAAAATAAGGTTTTAAGATTGTTAGATTAGAACAGCTCATAGATGATTTGTCTCAAGCAGTTGATATATTATTTTACATATGTAGAGGTAAGATTATAAAGTCCAACTGGAAATGAGTGTTTTAGATGACTTAACAATTAATTTAAATTTTTCATCCAAAAAGTGTCAGATCCACCCAATCTCAGATCTCAATGTGAAGATGTATTCTGATTCTGAGCAGCAAAAATTAATCGTCAGGTTTGGTCTTGAATTTTCCTCACTTTCTCGGTAATTGTTATGTGAATTTGGAGGATATATTTATCATACTTTCTCATAAAATGTGATTACATAGAAAAGACAGTGTGTTGACAATTTAAACCAAGAATAATAAGAAATATTAATAAAAATAATAAAATTTGAAACAGTGGAAATGAGCAGCACTAGATTTGATGGGAATATTAAAGGATCAGACATTTTGAAGCTGAGGGTAATTACTTTATTTGAGTATAGGTTAACCCCCATATGCCAATTGCTTTTGCCCAACATACCTGGAACATTAGTTACTAAAGAGAAGACAGGGAGATACTGTAGATATGCGGTGAATTAAGTAAATGATAACTGCTTTAATAGATACTTGAAATCTCAATGGTTTAACATAAAAATATTTCAGGTGTAGGTCAGATTTCAGTGGGGTGTTCCTGGTCATACTGTTTCTCAGTGTGATTACTCAAGGGCCCAGGCTCTTCATACTTCTGGTTCCACCTTGTACAAGTTATCTCTGTTCAGCCCACTGTAGGAAGACACGGAGAGTGTTTATACCTAGTATACATGATTTCCACATACGTTTCATTGGCTCAAATGCTTAATTACTCCAGCTGCAAAGGGGGTCATGACATATGTACTGTAGATATGTGCTAAATAGGAAAAATATATTGAAACACTTGGCATGTTCTGCCATATTCCTGTTTATATATCATTTAGTACTCAAAAGAATGTATTACAAGGAATAATATTGATTATGACATTTATTATAAGGATTTGACTTAAATTATTATTATAACTATTAAAAAACAGGTCATTTCTTCTGTGTTTTTTGCTGTCCTGAAGTCAACCAATCAGTAAATTGAGAAGTAAAGATGAATATTAAGTCGGGGAGAGGAATGGGAAACTGAAACAAGTGAGAACAAGGTAGAATGCACGTTGTTTTCAAACCATCACCAAGACTACAACTTTCAAGATGCTAGTTACTTGAAAGAGAAACTGGCCTCCAGCTGATACCTGGCTCTGAAAGGACTGAATCAGAAAGATCTAGAGGGTCTGTGGACCCAGCTGCTCCCTCACATCAAAAACCAGAGTTGATAAGTTAACTGATTTTTAAAATAAATAAAATTTGTCACACAGATAATTGAAGAAATATCCCTTATGTCTTTGGAGTTAAGATTCCATTAGATTTTGCATCCAACTTAAAACTCAGAATCTCCAGTAGGTGCATAGTCTTACTCTATTTTCTTGTTCAAGGCCTGTAAACAAAATTATATGTTATTTACTCACAATGGACTCTGTTAAATTACCAGGAAGACAATGACAAGGATGGCTAATCAAAGACAAAATAACACACAATAAACACTTTTGTTTGGACATGGAGAGAAAAGCCATCACACCACTGTCCCCAGTCCAAAGCAATTTTAAATTTGAGAAGTCGTATGTTTAAGGAAGTTGATGCAAGTTTCTTCAATCTTGTCTCTGAGAGAACTCTTGGATCCTTTCCTCGATGTTCCTTACCCCCATACTGAAGTCTGTTCTTCCCTATATATTATTCTCCGTGGCTTCACCTGAAGTGAAAGTTGGGGAATATGCTTTCCTTTGAGCCATATTTAGACTTTATGTTCTATTTTCTGTTAGAGAATTACTGTTATGAAGGTTTTATCAATTCTCAACTTTCTGAGCAAAGAGCTAGGATTTTAAATTGCTTAGCTATATAATTCCTTGGTGCACAAGTTCTGTACACCAAGTAACCACACATAGATGTTGTATCTGACCATAAAGCCAGGTATCTTATATATCTTTGTTTCTTCTCTCTCATGTCATTTTCATCAATTTAATGACATTTTTTGAAACCATCTGAAAGGGAGCTTTGTTAATCTGAAGTTGGATACAAAGTTGATTTACTTTATCTAACTCTAAGAAGTTTCACAAAGTTTTTGTTTCCCAAAGGCCTTTTTAAAGTGTTGTTATAGTCATTTGATTATTTCACTTTTTGGATTTAAGGCCAGTCAGACTTTTCAAGCTAAAATGCCTTTGACTTTAAAATATCTCTATTCCTTGCTCTCCACTTAAAAAACATAATTATCTTTCCTAAGTTGGTTTAATTATTATGATAGATTAAATAGTAGCTAAAACATTTCAGATTACTTTCAACAATTTCTGCTAGTGATACAGCCTCAGTGAACACATTGTTTGCCTTGAAAATCATTATGGGAGAGAGTTTTGCCAATCTTTGATGAGGTATAAGACAAATCTCTATCCGTGCATCCAGAAGTATTTGCTCTGTTGCCTGCTCCCTCCAGAATACTAAACCAATGGTTCTAACCTGCCAAGAAGGCACCTCAATATTAGCATCAATTTCTGTGTTAATTACACAAGTTTTTTACAGATAAATTTTCAAATCTTAGTGAATTAACCCTTCAAAAGTCATATTTGCATCTCATAACAGTGCAATGGAAGAGTTATTGGTAGGGTGGCTTTTTCTTTTTTCCCCCCCCCTTTTTTTATTATACTTTAAGTTTTAGGGTACATGTGCACAATGTGCAGGTTTGTTACATATGTATACATGTGCCATGTTGGTGTGCTGCACCCATTAGCGTAGCACTAAGACCTTCTGCTCAACAGCGTTTAAGAAAGGTATCAACAGTTTCTTTGGCTAGGCATCTGCTCAATGGATGTGATTATTTTTGTTGTTCTGCCATTTGCTAACACCCTATGGTCTTCTGATAGATCCTCTCCATTTTATTGGTAGATATAGAGAAAAAGACTCTGAAAGGCACAAACTGTAAATTTTAATGGGCCAGGTGTGAAGGAGGGAACAGCTTCTGCTCCAATTCAATTGATGTAAACTCATTTACATGGCCACACCGAACTACAAGGGAACCTGAGAAATCGATTGGAATAAAATGCCCAGGTTGAAAATAAACAGGTTTTAGCAAGCACATGGTAGTCTCTAACACAGAATACAGAATGAATTCTTTGATGACCATCTAGGTCTTAATAAAAGAGGAGAGTCATACAATATAAATGTTATTATAGTATGTTGATAGTTATGTTAGACTCACAGCTGAAAACCCTTTTCTTGGAGCCAATTAGTTCAATAAGCGTGTTAAGAAGGTGCTTTGAATCATTAATTCAGCGTTTAAGGCAGTGAGATCTGTGTGCAGTAACTGAGTCAAGTGTTGCCCACAACTGCAAGCTATTACCCTTATGGCAACCATGAAACAGATGGTCTCACAGGGCTGATTGGATCCTTCCAAAAATGCTTCAGAGGGATAGTTTTATGTGCCAATAATCAACCTCAAAAATGACTGGTAAGATTTTCCTACAGGGTTATTCCCTCTTGTGTGATATCATTACAGGAGCCTTACTCTTAGAATTGCTTGATGATGAATCATTCTGTAATTTCTTTTCTTCTTATATATGATATGGTTGCACTTGGGCCAGAGAAAGGCATTGCTTTGTGGTTTCGGGTGCTAATCAATTCCAAAACAGATGTTAGGCAAAAGACAAACTCAGTGAGAAAAAGTTGATAATACTTTATTGCCCAGATTTTATATCTTCCCCCAATTCTATTTACAGGTAATACATAAGCTATGATCAGATATCTGTAAATGGAATTATAAGATAATAAAACAGACCAGCTTTGTTCATGCATCACTCTTGAAATAAAATATGAATAGAATTCTCTAAGCTGATCAGATGAATAGATTTGTGTTCTAATAAGAGTACAACTCTGTGGGTTGGGCACGGTGGTTCACGCCTGTAATCACAGCACTCTGGGAGGCCGAGGCGGGCGGATCACGAGGTCAGGAGATCGAGACCATCCTGGCTAACACAGTGAAACCCCGTCTCTACTAAAAAATACAAAAAATTAGCCGGGCGTAGTGGCGGGCGCCTGTAGTCCCAGCTACTCTAGAGGCTGAGGCAGGAGAATGGCGTGAACCTGGAAGGCGGAGCTTGCAGTGAGCAGAGATCGCGCCACTGCACTCCAGCCTGGGCGACAAAGCGAGACTCCGTCTCAAAAAAAAAAAAAAAAAAAAAAAAAAGAGTATAACTGTGAATATCTTACAACTCTTATGTTGATCAGATCAATTTCCTTATCACTTGAATAAACATTGTGTCCAGATAGACTCTGCACTATTAACAAGTTATCTATGAATATTTCATTAATTCCAGCATGACTCATAGTATATAAACAATATCATTTGATATCAGTCAAAGTAGCCACCTTTAATCCCCAGAACACTGGTGGGTAAGACTGGCATACGTAAAGGGATCCTCCTCTCCAATTTTAGAGATAAGTTAGTTGAATTGTAATGTATTCTATGTATTTTTCATAAAGGGATAGACCAAGTATAAGTAACCAGATAAATCTGTAAATTGTTCTGTCTTCTACCTTAAGCTTATGCCATAGTTCAACACAGAAACACCATGCTGTATTTAACAAGCACCTTATTAAAATGAATTATAGTTGTTTCCTTGTTACCTGTGTAAAGACTGCAATATTAATACTATAAATTTTAGTTTATAATAACACCACTGAAGTTTTCATATCACCTTATGCATTAATGTAACACTAATTATTAGGAATTTACCATGGTTCTTATTAACTTCAACATTTTTTGCCTTTGAAAATCTAAGTATAATTAATTTGTATAATTAATATTTTAAAGCTACAGGTAGTTGGTATACTGCATTGATTATAGTAATAGTGTATTAATATTGGGTACTTTAAGAGTCAGAATGTCAAAAGGCACAAAGTAAGGTTTTCAGTTAATTGCCATACAATGTCTCTCATGGAATTCAATAAACTTGGAGGTTTTGCCAACCAATTATATAAGAACTTCAGCTCCAATATTTATAAGTTAGAATTATTTAGAAGGTAAATATTGTGTAAAGGTAAAGTAATGCTGACAAATAATGACAACTAGTTGATTATGAATCTTTTTGGTGGGTTCATGGTAAAGATACAGTATGATGGTTTAATGAATAGTGTATGATGGATTTTTTTAAATCCATAATGACCATCTTGCCAATTATAATCACTTTGGGAACTGGGATCCAAAAGAGAAAGCTGATCAAAATATGAAAGTGTGTGCCATTTTATTGCAAAAATAAATAAAAATATATTATTTTCAATTTTCAGTGGTGGGATACAGGACAAGAGGAAACATACATGAAGTCTGCAACTCACTTCTGGGTGGTCACAGTAAAACCCTCACCTGCCCACTTATCTCTCTTTTACACATTTCTAGTAGATGCTAATGATGCAACATATAGATATGCAAATTTAACTAACCTTACGAAAACAATTTTGTGCTTGTCTGTTTTAAAAAAGCAATAAACAATAATACATAAATGCTATAATAAATTCTGATTCTCAGTCCCAATATCTTGTCAGAATAGCTCCTTCCTTGATTGAAGGGGCTGAGGTACTCAGTTGAATAAATGAGCTAACTAGTATAGGAAGGGCTATGCTTTCTGGGACCTCCAGAGGTCAGTCTGTTTCTTTGTCTTTTCCAGCTTCTAACTGCTGCCTGTATTCCTGGGTTCTTTACTCTTTCTTTCATCTTTAAAGCAAACAATGGTGAGATGAGTCCTTTTATATCACACCATTCCAACTTCTTCCATTTGTAGGAGTTTGGGATTACACTGGGCACACCTAAATATTTCAGAGTGATCTTTCTAATTTGAAGTCCGTTGCTTAGCAAACTTAATTACATATGCAATCTAAATTTTTTTGTAACGTAACGTATTTACAGGTTCTGAGAATTAGGATATAGGCATCTTTGAGAAGCCCTTATCTCATTCCCTGCCTACCATAGGTACCTTTTGCTATACATTTTCCAACATGAATAGACTTTGAAACTTTGAAATAAAATCACCTTTTACATTTATGATTCATTTTATGGGTTATGAAAACTGTGCCTGACTAACCTGTGACATGGACTGCAATTACAAGCCACTGTGAAGTCAGTGAAACCAAAGTTTAGCAATAAAATATTTTAACTTTTAACTGAATGTATAGTTAATTTAACTCACATACATACATGTATACACACATACATACACACTCACATACACATGTAATCTGAAAACAGGAGAGACCTGTCTTACTTGTATGTTTTATTTGAATATAGAAGTAACAAAACAAAAAAAAAAATGTGTGCTGGCTACTAAAATAGTCTTGCAAAATTTGTTCTAGTTTTTAAATTGCTTTTATTTTACAAGGTTATGATTCTCCTGCACTCTGAACAACTCAATATAGTGTTTAGGTCTATTATCTATTTGTAGTCATAATACTGCAGGTGCAACTGCCAACCTTCCAGATCAGAGTCACCTTGGTTATAAGGGCGAACCAATTAAACTTAGGAAAAGTAAGCCAGCAAAGTGGTATTATTAGCTTTGAGATAATGATGAAAAGTTATAAAAATTAGTTGAGACTTTTCAAAATAATGATACTTGAGTTCAAAATTTGGTCAAAGTAAAAATAAACTATTCCTTTACAAATAATAGACTATAGTATTGTTGTCAGATGATTTTCAACCAAAAATGTATCTCACCATAAAAAAGAACCTTCTTTTAAATAACTTTTTTCTATCTAAGAGCACATCCATAACCTGATAAACCACAAAACCTGGGAGAGATATACATTAATTTAATAAGTATTTAGCAACTTTAAATTAGAAACTAAGATAATTCCTGAGGTAGAAATAGTCTTTTTTTTTTAACTGAAACTAAGCATGCAAGGTATTCATGCATATTACTAGAAACTATTTAGACGTATCTTGTAGTTCGTATTATTGTTTTATAGAGAAAAATGTTGTATTAATCCTATTGATTAAGACATATGGGAAATTATATTGTGCGGTACCCACAAATTTGTTACGTCTCTGATTTCTATTCTGTCTTATTTAAATTGAAAAACAAATAGAAATGAGAGTTTTTATCACAAATAAAACTTAGTTTCTGTGCCTATAGTATGTACATGTGTCTCCTGAAGAAACACTGTTTTCTGAAGAAACACTGTTTTCCAGAAATTTACCTAAAATAATTATTTGGCTGGGCTGTTTACTGTTATTTGCTTTTCATTGACAGATATCATTTCTTCTAATATCTGTTGTATGGCATTGACATATTTTACTACTAACACTATCCAATCTCTTATTTTTAGATCTAACTATAATGACTGCATTAGATACATTTACATTAATTTCCTGTTGTATAAAAATAATATGGCAAGATAATTACAGTGTTTTAAATAAACAATAAAATGCATTTAAATATATAAAATACAATGTGGGAAATATTTAAAAATCAATTTAATTAAACTTTAAAGAGTATATATATATATCTCTATCTTTCTATTTTTGAACTGGAATTTTTTTTTGTAATTAGAAATTATACCTTTAAAAATCTCTAAATTTCTGGGAAACTAAAACTGAAAGAATGACAGTGAGACCATGCACAAAATAGAAAAAAGAGAAAATTACTTGCAATGACTATAATTTTGAACTTCTTGAAATTTAGCACTTCAATATTAGTTCAGTAAAATCTGTATTATATTTTGCAAGTGCTAGGTACTTTCAATTTTAATTTTATGTGTGGTCAACTAACATGTGAAAATACATGGCTGTGCTTTGGTCAAGGATAGGCTGAGGTAGGATGTTTACATCCTGCGTGACTCAATGAGTCTAGAGCGCAAGAATATAACTCCACTTGTTAACATAACCATGTAGACATAACATAGAGAAGTTCACCACCATAGCCACAACATGGGGAACACCATCACTTGTCTCTAAGCCACTATTGTCTGTAAAAGGTATAATTGTCCTGTTGACACTGTACAGGGGTACTGGCCCCCAGAGAAAGAGACAGTCAGAGTTGTCTGTGTTTGCATACGGACAGAGGGGAGCCAGGACACAGCTCAGCTTGATCATGCCCAGAGAGAGAAAGAGTTAAGCTTCTGACCCTGAAGGCAAGGGAGAGCCGGCCATGCAGCTGTGTGTGGGGGCCACCTGACTAAGCAGCTAAGACAGGGCAGATAGTGTGAGAGAAAGCTGTTGATGACAGCTGCTGCTGAATAAAATCATTTTTCACCTGCCTACGCCCCACCCCGAGTGTTCTTTCTGCTCATCTACGTGCTCCCTCAGGACTTCAACATGACCTTTGGTGTAATTGTGAACCTGACAACATGATAGAAAAATTCACAGGACAAAACTGATGAATTTGCATTATTTCACAAAGAGTTCTGTGTAGATAACTCTTAAAATTTATCAACAAACAATACACACACACAACTTGCTAATAAGTATGATCAAAGATCGAAGTGTGTTCTTTTTATGAATCTAAAAGTAAACCAAAATGTGAAACTAAAGGTTTTAGAGTTAAAGTAACTCAGATATCCTCATCACCTGTGAACCGGATATAAAACTTCAGAAAGTCTCATAACTTTTCACTTTCAGGATTGTGTTCCAGATGGCTCTTCTGTCCTCCCATTAAACAGGGAGATTGCAGAATGCAGGCCGTCAACTGCACAAAGTATTTGTTGTTGTTGTTATTTGTCCACTGATGTATGTTTGGATAGAGTGCGCTTGTTTTATGTACAATTGGGGAGCAGATGTAGGTTATAGTAGCTCCTTGACCCAAACCCTTAGTAACTTGCTAATGCATGTTTGGTTATTTGGGTATGGTATGGGCATCGGCATCATATATTTGTGCAGAGTATATAAGGACATGATTTCTATTCTGGGTATAGTGTATAACAAATATATACTTTCTAGTCTTCTGAGTCATTCATCTTCTAATCAAGATCCATTCACCAAAGTATTTTCAGGCATTCCTACACAGTCTTGCCTGGGGAATGCTGCTGGGTCTGGGGTTTGAGTTCTATTTATAAAGCACGTGGTGAAACCACCTAAAACGACAACAAGTGGGGTTTCACTAAGTTTACAGATTATATCTTATAAAATGTTTTGTGACTGCTTGTCAATTTGTATATAATAAATATCTCTATGAGGTGCAGAATTTGGCGTCAGACTTAGTTTCATGTAATCTGCTATTGAGGTTGTGGAATAGAGTAGCTAATATTTTCCACATCATGTTTTTGACAGCTAATGCAACCAATCACTACAAAATATAGCCTCATTTTTGCATAATTAAGTTGATTTAAATCAATTCACAAGAAAAATTGAATAGTTTATTCGTGGGAATAAATTATTGAAAGGAACCCAAACACCCTAACAATAAATACAAAAGTCAGTGAACCCATGAAAGCATGACAGACAAAATAATGAATAATCATCTTCTTCTGAGCAAGGATCTTAGAATTTTAAAAATATAAAAATTCGAGCAAAGTCAGTCAAATGTTCTCTTTACCCCCAAATATTCTACATTGCACTCTCCAATTTTGTGTAATACTAGGAAAGAAGTATTTCTTCAATACAATTCATTTACATGGATTTCTTTTTTTAAAAAAGAGGGAGTCTCACTTTGCTGCCCAGGCTGGAGGGCAGTAGCAGGATCACAGTTCACTGCAGGTATGAACTCCTGGGATTGAGGAATCCCCCAGCTTCAACCTCCCAAGTAGCTGGAAGTAAGGGTGTGAGTCACTGTGCTACACAGATTTTTTTTTTTTAATTCTTCCTTGCTCACTTATATCTTCATGGTATTATAGCTAATGTTAAGAATAATAATAACATGATAGTGCATACTGATTTATATGTATACAAATATGTTGTATACAAACATAAGCATTTTTTTATTTCAAAGCATTTTTATTTGTTGTGTTTTATTTTTGTTTCTCTTAAGGTCTTGTACCTCTTTTGATTTGGGGGCCAGTTTTACTTCTAGCTTTCCTTGAGGTATTTATCTGAGGAAGAGTTTTAGGTTGGTCTTACTACATCTAATATGACATTGAGAGATACAGAAAGTCCTCTCTAAACTCAAAATCGTTCTTAAACTTCCCCTTTTCTGTTTCTTAAATTTATCACATTTCCTATCCCTAACATCACATGTCCTTATTTACATAGAAATTGGTTTTACAAATTTAAAATATAATCTTATAACTTAATTCATTTTCATACATTTCCTAATGTATCTAATCATCCTCTGCATAATTAAGTAAAACAGCTTACAACATTCAAGTAGACCAAAGAATACTCAAAAATAAATAAATAAAAGAAACAAAGGTAGTTTTGGATTAGTTACTTTACCTCAACTTTTTCATCTCCTTACAACTTTGAAATAGAGTCAGAATAAACAAGGGCCAAGGTAACTACTTTCACTTGCTTAATTTTGTCAAAATTGTCTCTAAATAAAAGAAATTTCCCGTGTTTTTCAGCTTTCCACTACTTTAAATAAGAGCAAAACTGAAAGCCATTCTTCTCTAAAGGTATGTGCCATGTGTTTGAATTCAAAAGCTTTAATTCAAACCTATTACTTCAGATTAAATATACATGAAGATCACCTGAAGTAAAAAAAATCATTATAAACCATATTAATATAAAAAAGTTCATATTTTAAATTTTACAGAAAATATTTGATTTGTCCCACTTTCTTTAAATACGTTAAAACTCTATTCTTTCTGACTTTGGTTAAACTTTTAAATTGGTGTAAACATATAAACACATACAATTCTCATGTGAATAAATGTTATCTCACATAGAACATGAAACCACTGCTTCCCAATTTCTGCAAAATGGTTGGAAATAAGCAGAATAATAACATATAAAGACAGGGATATTAGCCAAGTCTATTCATTATATGCAAATATTTACACACACATACACAATATATACATACATGAATATGTTATATAGAGAGAGGTATATTTACTGTTCTAAAATAAAACATTAAAATTTCATCATTGGGCTTTTCAACAAAAATGGTTTTGCTGTCTGTGGAATTATATTTCACTCTAATTTGGGATTATTAAAGTGAATGCATTAGCTTTCTATTTGCTGCTGTAACAGATTCCCACACATGTAGCCCATTAAGGCAACACAAATTTACTATCTCATGGTTCTAAAGGTGAGAAGTTCATGTGGGCTGGACTGGCTCATTTGCTCTTGGTTTCTGAAGACCAAAATCAATATAGCTTGTGTTCCTGTGCTATTACCTTCAAGCTTTCAGGGAGAATCTGTTTCTAGGCTCATTCAGGCTCTCGGTAGAATTCAGTTGCTTCCAGCAGTCCCTGACCTTTTTGGCACCAAAGACTGGTTTTGTGGAAGACAATTTTTCCATGCACTAGGGGCAAGGAGATGGTTTCAGGGTGATTAAAATGCACTACATTTATTGTGCACTTCATTTCTATTATTATTACATTGTAAAATACAATGAAATAATTATACAACTCATCATAATGTGGAATCAGTGGGGGCCCTGAGCTTGTGGTCCTGCAACCACATGGTCGCATCTTGGGGTGATGGGAGACAGTGACAATGATCAGGCATTAGATTCTCATAAGGAGTGCGCAACCTAGATCCCTTGTATGTGCAGGTCACAATAGGGTTCTCGCTGCTATGAGAATCTAATGCTTCTGCTGATCTGACAGGAGGTGGAGCTCGAGCCGTGACATTTGCTTGCCCTCCGCTCACTTCCTTCTCAGCCACTTGGTTCCTAACTGGTCATGGACTGGTACTGGTCCATGAACTGGGGGTTGGGGAACCCTGAGTTATAGGGTTGAAAACCCAGTTTTTGTTTGTTTTCTGGCTATCACGTAAGTATCTCCACATTGCCCCCTTTGTCTTCAAATCAGCAGTATTGCTTTAAATCATCATGACTTGATTCTATCTGACTTTCCTCACTGCTGAATCTCTTCTGCTACAGGTAAGAGAAAGTTCTCTGTTTTAAGGGTTGATGTACTTAGATTGGGCTCACCTGGAGTATCCAGGCTAATCTCCCTATTATAAGGTTCCTGTTATCTGGGAAACTTTTTTTTTCCTGTAATGCAATGTATTCACAGGTTTAGGTGAATAAGGCATAAAAAACTCTGGGGAGGAAGTGGCATAATCCTGTCTATCATAGTGTATTTTGCTCCAATCCTTAAAAAAAAAATGCTTAAAAAAATACAAGTTTTAACCCTTTTCCCATTTGCCTCAAGAATACTCGCCGGTGGCAGTTGCAGCTGCAGCATTTATCCTGAGATAACTTTGCCACGAAATATCTGGATTTTATTTATTTATTTTTTCGCATCACTCTAGTATATTGACTTTGGAAACAAAAGACATCATTCTATTTATAGCATTCTGTTTTTAGGAGTAGTATTTCCATTTCCAAAATATAGTAATTTTTGAGCGCTGAAATGTCAAATCCTAGAAAACGTGGCATTCTTACGCATGATGTTAACATCCTTCTGGAGCAGTCATTGGCCAAACATTTATTTGATGAATGCAATTTTTCCAAAATAGATGATTCTGATGATTTAGACAATTCTGATATTCTGCTTAGAAATAACTCCAATAATAGTTTATTTATATATATATAATGTATATATATTTACATTGAAAATCAGTCAGTTTTGCTTCAGCCTCAAAGAGCATGTTGATGTAAAATTAAATGAGTGCTGGCAGCAAGCTGCACTTTTCTTCTAAATGGGAAAGTTAAATAGCATTCTTTGGGTTAGATTTTTATTTTAAAGATCTAACAATCTTTTGTGTGTGTGTGTGTGTGTGTGTGTGTGTGTATGTGTGTGTGTGTGTGTGTGTGTGTGTGTGCTTTTCAATCCTATGTCGATTTGGTGTAACCTGAGATTTCATCTGGAATGAATTGACTATGAAAAGGTTATGTTTACTGTGTTTTTGCCGTAATTAGTATTCTGAGCATTCCTTTGGAAAAAAAAAAAAAAGCCTACTTTTAAAAATCTGCCCTTAGGTAAATAATTAATTTTAAAATGATTGTAGAAACTCTTTCAAAATCAGATTTTGAAGAAATCCTTGGACTACATTAAAGGTAAAATTATTTTACAATGAGTATCCCATTTATGTTTTCCCCCATATCATTTTAGAACAGCATTTACATTGGTTTTGTATAAGAACTCTCAGTTTTGGCTTCATAGAAGTAGAAATGCAACTGCCCGTCACTCTATCCCATTGTATTAGAATATCTATTCCTGCTTCATTTTTTCTGTAGGATTTATGAGTTAGATTTAACTCCTAGCCAAAGCTCAAGATTACCTACTCTTCCTCTACCCTGAAAATAAAATGTATTTGGGCCATGACCATGAAGAAAAGGGGGACATGTAAACATTTACAGTATTATCTCCTGATTAAATGCTGTTCTTTATGTTATTTTTATCTTTTTCAACAAATGCCTGGAGCATGAGGACTGGAGCACTGTCCTGATGGAAAACCAGCAGAAGTCCAATGTGCTAATTCTGATTAAGGAACTCAAAGAACTCAACAACAACAACAAATAGCCTCATTAAAAGATGGGCAAAACACATGAATAGATATTTTTCAAAAGACAGCATAGAAATGGCCAACAAGAATATGAAAAAAAATGTTCAGCATCATGAATGTCATCTTACACTAGTCAGAATGGCTATTATTAAAAAGTCAAAAACAACTAATGTTGGCAAGGATGCAGAGAAAAGAGAACACTTACACACTGTTGGTGGGAGTGTGAATTAGTACAGCCTCTGTGGAAAATAGTATGGAGCTTTCTCCAAAAATGAAAAATAGAACTACCATTTGATCCAGCAGTACAATTACTGGGTGTCTAACCAAAGCAAAAGAAATAATTATATCAACAAGATATCTACACTTATATGTTTATCACAGCACTATTCACAACAGCAGAACTATGAAATCAGCCTTAAGTGTCCATCAATGGATAATTGGATAAAGAAAATATGGTATATATTGAAATACTATTCAGCCACATAAAAGGATGAATTCATGTCTTTTGCAGCAACATGAACTGGAGGTCATTATCTTAAGTGAAACAACTCAGGAAGTCAAATACTGAATGTTCTCATTTACAAGTGGAAGGTAAAGCTAAGGTATGCACATGGACATACAGCATGGAATGACAGATCCTGGAGACTCCAAAAGGAAGGGGGCAGAAGAGTGATAGGTGGTGGTAAATTACTTAGTGGGTACAACGTACAGCATTCTGGTGACAGATGTACAAAAAGCCAAGATTTCACCACTACACAATATATTCATGTAAAAAAAATTGCTCTTGTACCCTTTAAATGTATACCCCCCAAAACATCAGAAAGTCTCAGAGGAATGGAACACAATCCCAGGAAAAGGTAATGTAAAGTTGGAAATGGTTTAGATCATCCGGTCCTGGGCCATGTGGGTTATTTCTATTTCCTGAGTATATTGTTTTCCTGAACTTTCTCTTCCAGGTGCATATGTAGGATTAAAAATCTGTCTTCAGCACAGAAGTTGAAGAAAGTGGTTGTACTGACATAAAGTCTAACAGGTTATATGTATTTGAGGCTAAATTACGAAAACAAAATAAAACATTACCAATTCCCATGGGATGGTTTATGTACATTCACATTTAGGGAAAGCGTGCCATATTTTTTGGAAAAAAAGGAACTAATTATATAATACATTTTCCAAAACTGTCATAAGACCGTAAGCATTCCACTTTTTCAAGCCACAGTTTAAGTTACATAGTTAAGATATATACAGTTAAGATATATATATAGTTAAGATATATACAGTTAAGATATATAGATGTAAAATATTTTTTAAAGTATCCTTTATTCAATGATTCCTATATTTTCTAGTCTGAGATTATTAACAATATTAAAATTTTCCAAAGTACAATGTTGTGTTATTACCAAAATGATAATTTGTTTTGAGTTAGCAAGGATTATAAAGTTTAACATAGGGTTGGTAATCTAGACTTCAATTTACAGATTCATTAAAACATTACTAGGAAAGATAAACTAAAAGTAGAATGTTAATTAGAAAGATATCTCTTAGAATTTGGTGAATAATTTCATTTTATATAGATATATGAATAAAATGAATATTACCAAGGGATATCAAACTGGTATCTAAGAAGGAAAAGGCCTGCTTAACTCCAGAACCTTTCTTTTGCTAAGTGACATTCATAACTCTTTTTCATAAATCATAACTTTTCTTGAATCTATCGGAGATAGATTCAAACAAGCAGCTTGATATCTAAAATAATATATGTTAACTCAAGGGGAGAGAGGATGTAAGCACTGGCACACCTGTGGCAGTGCAGAGAAGGAAGAGACATGGACACCACGCAAGTAGGTAATAAACTCTGAGAATCTGGCTAAATTTTATATGAAAAATTGCTAAAAGGTGAGTATAGCTAGCATGTATATATAGAAACCCTGAGAGTTGCAGACACAAATGGAATTTGCACTCATTCCCAGCTTTTCATGAGAATGTTCAGCATCAGGGAGATGATAAACAAAAACTAAGCTACTGGAGGAGATACAGAAAAACTTTCCATCCAAGAGACAGGTCAAAATCTGTCTGGGAGTAAAGGAAACAATAATAAAATTTCTGCCATACAGGGAAAGGGAGAACAATATTCTAAATCCAAGATTCTAAACTGCAATTACTTTTGCACCAACCTAATTTTCTAGATACTATCAGAAAAGATCTACCACTAAATAAGACTGAAAGAACTCTATCCCCTAACTAAGATGCTGAGATTCTTAGCTATAACTGGGGATAACGGAAAAGGTACTTAAAAGGGCACACCTTAGAGAACCAAGCAAACAAGGCCCACTTAAGCCTAATATTGAAGCAGAAGAATACAAAACAATTATTGATCCTCAAACATCTTAGATAAAATTAAGCAAAAGCAATAACAGAAGAGCACTGGGGATGGGCTGAGTGTAGAGAGAGAATATCTCTTTGTCAAGATCAGAGGGTTAATGCCAGTAATGAAGAATGAATCTAGAACATTGAGAAAAAAACCCCTCTGGTGCCTCAGCCACTACCTGATATACAGCATAGGAAAATGCAAGCTGTTATGCACTGGAGGTAAACATAGCAACAAGACCCAAACCCAGCTCAGCTCCTGATGAAAAAGAATCAAACATTCATGTTAACAGCAAAATAAACAAACAAAAAACAGCAACAAATTGAGCAGGTGCATTTCTAGGGGTAAATATAATTTACTTCAGTCTCTGGTATTCTAAATATGATGTGTTATGTTAAGTGAAAGTACAAGACAAATTTAAAAAGCAGGAAAGAACCATCAAAAACAGAGTTGATAAAACCAGAGTCAGTAATGACCCAGATGTTGAAAAAGACAAAAAATTCAAAGCAACTACACATAAGTAAAGATCTAGTGTAAAAAGGTGAACAATAGTCATGAACATATGAGAAATACAAAGAAAGAAAAACCTACGGAACTAGAATATAGGTAAAAAAATTCAATTGGATAGATATTAATTAAAATAATTGATCATTTCAAAGAACATATTTAGCCTCTTGGTTTTAATTTAATTTCTGCTCTAATTTTTATGTATTTTCTTCTTTTTAGGCTTAAATAGCTTTTTTCTCTAGTTTCCTAAGGTAGAAACTTAGGTTATTTTTGTAAATTTCTCTCTAATCACTTCTTTCACTGCATCCCAGACACTTAAATAAGTTGTATTTTTATTTTCACTTAGTTCAAAACATTTCAGTTTCTCTTGAGAATTCTCTGACCCGTGTACTATTCAGAAGTATGCCATTTTAATTTCCACATATTTAAGAATATTTCTGATATATTTATGCATTTTGTTTCTAGTTTGATTTTACTGTAGCCTAAAAACGTATTTTGTATTATTTATATGCTATTAAGTTTAAGATGTGTTTTATGGTACAAAATGTGTTCTTTCTTGATGAATTCTCCATGTAAGTTTGACTCTTGTTGGATGAGTATTCTACAAATATCAATAAAATCAGTTAGACTGAGAGTTTTGTTCAGGTCAACATTACTTTTTTCACCACTCCATTGCTTTTTCCTCTCTCTCTCTCTCTCTCTTTTTGAGAGAGAGCGATAGAGATATTTTTTTATCGTACAGTTTCTCTTATTTTGGTTATTTGAATGCTGAATATTGTATTAAACATGTTAGAGTAGGAGGTGATGTTAATTTATCAAGATATGGATTAATTTCCTTTTCCATAGTTTCCTTTTCAAATGAAGTTTGATAAATTATTTCACAGGTCTAAATAAGAATCAAGATGATTTGAAGCACATTTCAGGTATTTTAAAGGTCATTTTACTCCCTCTCCTTATCATGTGTCTTGTATGTAGACTTTTAGAAATCTCAAAGAAAAGAAGCCTGGGAGATTTTTTATTTTTTAAAAATTAAAGTTCTTTCTTTTTTGTGGAAATTTAACTATAATTATTCGTTTGTTTGTTTCCCTAGCTCCATGTCACTGAGATAATATTTTGTTAACTTTGTCTTTGGCCTATTAGTAGCTGTTTTCTTTTTGGTTTTTGGTTTCTATGTCTCCTAAACAGGTTAAAATTTTTAGAATCTTCAAGAGCAAAAATCTAAGGCAACTTTTCACTGTTTCTTTTATTTAGTACAGGATGTTGTCACCTTAAGTACTGTCTGTCCTACTGAAGTGCACTTTTTTATCTTCCTGACAGCACCACACTGAGGGAAGCTCTAGTTCAATGCTTTCTGCTTGGTCTTCATACTGTGAGTCATTTTATGGAAAATGACACTAAATTAAAAGTGGAGGAATCAGACACATCTTATCACAAAATGTTTTGTTTCCTCCTAGGTCCTTGGTTCCTCATGCTTCCAAATAGATATTTTAAAATCTTGTCTTTTGATTGTTTTGGTTTTATTGTAGTAAATGATACATAACATAATATTTATCATTGGAATCATTCATAAATATGCAATACAGTGGCATTAAGCACAATCACAATGTGGTGTAACAATCACCACTATCTATACATAAAAATGTAATCAACCCCAAAAAAACCTCTGTGCCCATTAAACAACAACTTTCCCTTTCGCATCTCCTGCAGCCACTGGTAACCTCTGGTCTACTTTCTGTCTCTAGGAATTTGGATATTCAAGATAAGTTATATGAGTGAAATTACACAATATTGGTTCATCTGTGACTGGATTATTTCACTAAGGATAACGTTTAAAAGATTCATGGTATTGCATATATCAGAATTTTATTCCTTCTCATGGATAGTCTTACATTTTATGTGTATCATATCTTTTGATTATCAATTCATCTGTTCATGGACACTTGAATTGTTTCCACCTTTCCATGATTGCAAATAATGCTGCTGTAAACATTCATGTACGAATATCTGCTCAAGTCCCTGCTCTCAAGTCTTCTGGAAATACACTTAGGAGTAGAATTACTGAGTTACAAGATAGTTATGTGTTTAACTTTTTGAGAAACCACCAATTTCTTTCCCTTATGGAATGCTCCATTTAACATTCCCACAAACAAAGTACAAAAATTCCAATTTCTTCACATCCTTGGAAGCACTTATTATTTTGTTTTTCCTTTTTTTTTTTGCTTTTTTTTGTTTTAATTATAGACGTCCTAGAAGGTGTGAAGTTGTATCTTGCAGTTTTGATTTGCATTTCTCTAAAGACTAATAACTTCAAGCATCTTTTTGTGTTCTTATTGGCCGTTTGTATATCTTCTTTGGAGAAATGTCTATGTTAGTCCCTTGCTCATATTTTAATTGAATTGTTTGGTTTTTTGTTGTTGAGATTTAGATGTGGTTTATATAGCTTGAATATTAACCCATTATCAAATGTATAATTTATATGTGTTACTTTTATAGGTCATTTTATGTTTTCTTAGTAGAATCCTTTGATGCACAAATATTTTTAATTTTAATAAAGTATAATTTGTCTATTTTTTTCTTTTGCTATCTGTGATTTTGATGTCATATTCTCCCAAAAAATCATTGCCACATATAATGTCCTGAAGATTTTCCCTTATATTTCTTCTAATATTTTTATACTTTTTACTTTTAAGTTTAGGATTTGAATCCATTTTGAATTAAGTTTTATATAACCTGTAAAACAAGACTTTAATTCCATTACATTGCATATGGATATTACGTTTTCCCATCATCATTTGTTAAAAAGACTTTTTTCTCCATGTAGTATTCTTGGCACCCTTGTCGATAATCAGTTGACCATACACATGAGAGCTTATTTCTGAGTTATCTCTTCCATTTTATTGGTCCATATATCTGTCTTTATATCAGTACCATTATGTGTTGATTACTGTAGCTTTGTAGTAAGTTTTGAATTCAGGAAATGCGAGTCCTCCATTGTTGTTATTATTTTTCAATATTCTTTGACTGTTCAGTCTCTTGTAATTTCATAAAAATTTGAGAGTCAACATTTCCATTTCTGTGAAAATGCTGTTAGAATTTTGCTAAGAATTGTGTTAAATCGGTAGATTGCTTTGGGTAATACTGACATGTTAAAAATGTCTTTTTAATCTATAAACACCAATGTCTTTCCATTTATTCAGAACTTTTATTTCTTGAAGCAAAATTTTGTAGTTTTCAACATACATGACTTTCACTCCATTTTTCTTAAGTAGATTATTTTAGTTGCTATTGTAAATGGAATTGCTTTCCTAATTTTCTTATCCAATGTTTCACTACTGATATATAGAAGCACAAATAATTTCTTGTTAGTCTTGTATGCTGTAAATTTTTTGAATGTGTTTTTTTATAGATACTTTGGGATTTCAATATATATGATCATAGCATTTGTGAATAGACATAGTTTTACCTCTTCCTTCACAATTTGAATGTATTTTCTTTTCTTGTCTAATATCTCTGGCTAGAATTTATGGTCCAATGTTGAATAGCAATTGTGAAAGTAGGAATCATTTTCTTATTCCTCATCTTTGGAAAGCTCTCAGTTTTTCCCCAGAGAGTATGATATTAGTGATTATGTAAAGACTTCTCATTATAATGTTTCCTCCGAAAAATTTATAGGTGTTGTCAATGTCTCAATGACTTGGCAGAAACAGAGTAAAATACAGTTACCTTCAGGATTAGTGCTGTCACTTTATTTGTAACAAGTGAAAATACTTTCTTTTTTATATTGAATAAGATTTTAAAACTACCTAACTTTTAAATTATTTTAATCAGCAAGGTCATTCCTAGAATCCATTTTGACATAGATCTAGAAACAGAATCAAATTTATTTATTTTTCCATAGTAAAAAAGTAATATATTTCTACTTTTTAAATACATTGTCCAATTACTATATCCAATGGCAAAAAATAGGCTTTTTCTAACCTTCCAGGTTCTCAAGAAGCCCGTTAGGATTTGTTTTTTGTAAAATTAAATAAAATCTTCATTTTCGTAAAATTAAATAAAATCTTGGATAAAAACTTTGATGACATCTTGTTAGTTGTACTCATAATATTTTATTTGAGAAACTATACTACACTTCACAACATAAAAGTTAGCAACATTAATTGTATATTCATTGAGAAATTTAGATATGCATGTTAAAATGAAAAACATATATCAGCAGATTTCACAAATGACCCAATGTATGCTTTTGGTGTTTTAGGAAACATTTCCAATTCAAATGGGTTAGATTAGCTATTTCAGAATGGCGGCTTTGTAAATACTATTGCAAATCCACAAGGCTTGTAAGTAGCTATTTATATAAAGTCTAAACACAAAAAAATGAAATACTTTAGTGTCATTTAATGGTATAGTACTGAATGGGCAAAAGCTGAAATCATTCCCTTTAAAACCAACACAAGACAAGGATGCCCACTCTCACCACTCATATTCAACATAGTATTGGAAGTTCTGGCCAGAGAAATCAGGGAAAAGAAAGAAATAAAGTGTATTCACATAAGAAGAGAAGAAGTCAAACTATCTTTGCTTGCTGATGCCATAATCCTATACCTAGAAAACCCCATAGTCTCAGCCCAAAAGCTTCCTAAACTGATAAACAGCTGCATCAAAGCATCAAGATATAAAATCAATGTGCAAAAATCATTAGCATTCCTATACACCAATAACAGTCAAGCCGAGAGCCAAATCAGGAACATACTTCCATTCACAATAGCCACAAAAAGAATAAAGTGCCTAGGAATACAACTTACTGGGTAGGTAAAAGATCTCTACAAGAAGAGCTACAAAGCACTGCTCAAAGAAATCAGAGATGACACGAACAAATGGAAAAACATTCCATGCTCATGGGTAGGAAGAATCAATATCATTAAAATGGCCATACTGCCCAAATCAATTTATAGATTCAATGCTATTCTAATTAAACTACCTTTGACATTCTTCACTAAACTACAGAAAACTATTTTAAAATTCGCATGAAATAAAAAAAAAGAGCCTGAATAGCCAAGGAAATCCTAAGCAAAAGAACAAAGCTGGAGGCATCAGGCTACCCAACTTCAAACTATGCTATAGGGCTACAGT
The DNA here is from genome assembly GCF_000001405.40 of Homo sapiens. Classification (NCBI taxonomy): domain Eukaryota; kingdom Metazoa; phylum Chordata; class Mammalia; order Primates; family Hominidae; genus Homo; species Homo sapiens. The sequence goes on from NC_000013.11 coordinate 68,826,775, forward strand.
AACCAAAATAGCACAGTACCAGTACAAAAACAGACACATAGACCAGTGGAACAGAATAGAGAACCCAGAAATAAAACCGCACATCTGCAACTATCTGATCTTCGACAAACCTGACAAAATCAAACAATAGGAAAAGGATTCCCTATTCAATAAATGGTGCTGAGATAACTGGCTAGATATATGCAGAAGGTTAAAACTGGACCCCTTTCTTAAATCATATGCAAAAATTAACTCAAGATGGATTATAATCTTAAATGTAAAACCCAAAACTATATAAACTCTGGAAGACAACCTAGGCAATACCATTCAGAACATCGGTACAGGAAAAGAATTCAGGGCGAAGACACCAAAGGCAATTGCAACAAAAGCAAAATTGTCAAATAGGATCTAAGTAAGGTAAAGAGATTCTGCACAGCAAAAGAAACTATGAATGAAGTAAACAGACAACTTAAAGAATAGGAGAAAAGTTTTGCCAACTACGCATCTGACAAAGGTCTAATATCCAACATCTATAAGAAATGTAAACAAATTTACTAAAAAAAATGACAACCCCATAAGAAACTGGGCAAAGGACATAAACACAGACTTTTTTCTCATTTATTTATTTATTCATTTATTTATATTTTAATTATTTAGAAATAATTCAGTGGTCATCTGAAAGCCTTATTGTTATTTTCTTTTTTAATTTTTGTTTTTCTTTATTTCTTCTAAAAAATACAGGATACATGTGCAAAACGTGCAGGTTTGCTATGTAGGTATACATGTGCCATGTGGTTTCCTGCACCTATTGACCTGTCCTCTAAGTTCCCTCCCCTTGTCCCCTACCCCTCAACAGGCCCTAGTGTGTGTTGTTCCCCTCTCTGTGTCCATGTGTTCTCAATATTCAGCTGACACTTATGAGTGAGAACATGTGATGTTTGATTTTCTGTTCCTGTGTTAGTTTGCTGAGTATGATGGATTCCAGCTTCATCATACTCAGCAAACTAAAACATCATCACACTCAGATGATGCAAAAGACATCATCTCATTCCTTTTTATGGCTGCGTAGTATTCCATGGTGTATATGTACCACATTTTCTTTATCCAGTCTATCATTGACGGGCATTTGGGTTTGGTTGCATGTAAACAGATACTTTTCAAAAGAAGACATACATGTGGTCAACAATCATATGAAAAAAAGCTCAATATCATTGATCATTAGAGAAACGCAAATCAAAGCCACAGTGAGATACCATCTCACATCAGTCAAAATGGCTTGTATTAAAAAGTCAAAAAGTAATAGATGCTGGCAACTTGTGGAGAAAAAGGAATTCTTATGTATTGTTGGTGGGAATGTAAATTAGTTCAGCTACTTTGGAAGACAGTGTGGTGTTTCTTCAAAGATCTAAAGACAGAACCACATTCAACCCAGCAATCCCATTACTGGGTATATGCCCAAAGGAATAAAAATCATTCTATTATAGTGACATATGCACACATGTGTTATTGCAGCATTATCTACAGTAGCAAAGACATGGGATCCACATAAATCACCATCAAAGATAGACTGCATGAAGGAAACGTGGTACATATATGCCATGGAGTACTATGTACCCATAATAAAAGAATGAGATCATGTCCTTTGTAGGGACATGGATGGAGCTGTAGGCCATTATTCTTAGCAAACTAATGCAGGGACAGAAAAACAAATACTGCATGTTCTCACTTATAAGTGGGAGTTAAATAATGAGAACAAGTGAACACATATAGAAAACAACCCGCACTGGGGCCTTTGAAACAGTGGAGGGTGGGAGGACCGAGAGCATCGGGAAAAGTAACTAATGAGTATTAGGCTTAATATTTGGGTAATGAAATAAACTGTACAACAAACTCCCATGACACAAGTTTACCTATGTAACAAACCTGCACTTATAGCGCTGAAGTTAAAATAAAAGTTTTAAAAAATGGAAAACAAGAGTTCCCTGAAAATTTTTACATCTTTCTTTTTGTTCATTTTCTCTGTTCTTTTTCTTTTCTTTTTTTTTTTGCAATGTAGTATTTCTCTGTGTTATCTCATTTTTTAATTTATGCAATGGTTGATGATACATGTTTAACAGCCAGTTCTCTGGAAGAATAATGTAAGTATATGTGTATATACATAAGTTGATTATAAATTTTACTGATGTAAAGGAAGTATAGCACACATTTACAAATAACAATAAATGATATAAACCTCTTTATGATAAATCTCTAATGTTGAATCAATTATCACATAAAAAATTGGCAAAACCTCAATGAATGAGGCAATACTAGATACAGCAAAGCATTCAATTAATTCCCTCCACACCCGCCATATCAATCTAGATTCAATAAAATCTCAATCAAAATCCCAGCAGGAGCTGGGCACGGTGGCTCGCGATTGTACTACCAGCATGTTGGGAGGCTGAGGAGGGTGGATCACAGGAGGCCAGAAGTTCCAGACCAGCCTGGGCAACATGGGGAAACCCCATCTCTAAAAAACATACACAAATTAGCCAGTCTTATAACCTGGTCTCAAAAACATAAAGAAATCAAACTAAAATAAAAAACCCCAGCAGGCTTTTTATATACATTGATAAGGTGATTATAACACATATATGAAATTCAGAAAGGACCTAAAATAGCCAAAACAATCTTCAAAACAACAATCTTCAAAACAAAGAACAATATTGGAAGACTCATATAACCCAATTTCAAAACTTTTTTTTGCATTTCATTGTATTATTTTTGTGTTTGTTTTGTAGGAAAACTTATATCATGGGGATTTGTTGTTGAGATTATTTCATCATGCATGAACTAAGCTTAGTACCCAATAGTTATTTTTTCTGACCCTCTCCCTCTTCCACCCCTCAACCCTCAAGTAGGCTCCAGTGTCTATTGTTCTGCTCTTTATGTCCATGTGTTCTCGTTATCTAGCTCCTACTAACAAGTGAGAACATGTGGCATCTGGTTTTCTGTTCTCATGTAGTTTCCTAAAGATAATGACCTCCAGCTACATACATGTTCTTGCAAAAGACATGATACCTTTTGATACTGTTTGGCTGTCTCCTCATCAAAATCTCATCTGGAATTGTAACTCGCATAATCTCCATGTGTTGTAGGAGGGACCTGGTCAGAGGTAATTGAATAATGGGGGTGGATTTTCCTGTGCTGTTCTCATGATAGTGCATAAGTCTCATGAGATCTGATGGTTTTATAAAGGAGAGTTCCCCTGCACATGCTCTCTTGCCTGCTGCTATGTAAGATATGCCTTTGCTCCTCCTTTGCCTTCTGCCGTGATTGTAAGGCCTCCCCGGCCATGTGGAACTGTGAGTTCATTAAAGCTCTTTTTCTTTATAAATTACCCATTCTCGTATTTCTTCATAGCAGTATGAAAATGAACTAATACAGTAAATTAGTATAGGTAGAGTTGGGCAGTGCTATTATGATCCCCCAAAATGTGGAAGTGACTTTGGAACTGGGTAAGAGGCAGAGGTTGGAACAGTTTGGAAGGCTCAGAAGAAGACAGGAAGGTGTGGGAAAGTTTGGAGCTTTCTAGAGACTTGTTGAATGGTTTTGACCAAAAAGTTCTGGCTAAGATGGTCTCAGATGAAGATGAGGCCTATTGCTCATCTATTGCTAAAACATAGAGACTGGTAGCATTTTGCCCCTGTCCTAGAGATCTGTGGAACTTTGAACTTGAGAGAGATGATTGAGGGTATCTGGTGGAGGAAATTTCCAAGCAGCAAAGCGTTCAACAGGTGACTTGAGTGCTCTTAAAATAATTCCTTTTTATTCATTAACGAAGATACAGTTTGGAATTGGAACTTATGTTTAAAAGGTAAGCAGAGCAAAATAGTTTGGAAAATTTGCAGCCTGATGATGCCATAGAAAAGAAAAACCCATTTTCTGAGGAGAAAGTCAAGCTGGCTGCAGAAATTTGCATAAGTAATGAGGAGCCAAATGTTAATCACCAAGACGATGGGGAAAATGTCTCCAGGGCATGTCAGAAGTCTTCTGGCAGCCCCTCCCATCACAAGCTGGGAGGCCTAGGAGGAAAAAATTGTTTCCTAGGCTGGGCCCTGGACCTTGCTGTTTTGTGCAGTCTTGGTACCTGGTTCCCTGCATGCCAGCCATGGCAAAAATGGGCTAATGTACAGATCAGGCCATTGCTTCAGAGGGTGCAAGCCCCAAGCCTTGGTGGCTTGCATGTGGTTTTGGGCCTGCAGGTGCACAGAAGTCAGTAATTGAAGTTTGGGAACTTCCACCTACATTTCAGAGGATGTATTGAAATGCCTGGATGTTCAGGCAGAGGTGTGCTGCAGGGACAGAAACCTCATAGAGAGAACCTCTGCTAGGGAAATGTGGGATGGGAGCCCCCAGACAGAGGCCCTACTGGGGCACTGGTTACTGAAGCTGTGAGAAGAGGGTCATCATCCTCCAGACCCCAGAATGGTAGATGCACTGACAGCTTGCACCGTGCACCTGGGAAAGCCACAGACACTCAACACCAGCCTGTGAAAACAGCCAGGAGTGGGGCTGTACTCTGCAAAGCCACAGGGGCAAAGCTGCCCAAGGCCATGGGAACCCATCTCTTGCATCAGTGTTACCTGGATGCGAGACATGGAGTTAAAGGAGATCATTCTGGAGCATTAGTTTGACTGCCCCACTGGATTTTGGATTTACATGCGGCCTGTAGCCCCATTGTTTTGGCCAATTTCTCCCATTCGGAACGGGCATATTTACCTAGTGCCTGTACCCCCATTGTATCTAGGAACTAACTAACTTGGCTTCTGATTTTACAGGCTCATAGGTGGAAGGCACTTCCTTGTCTCAGATGAGACTTTGGATTATGGACTTCTGAATTAAAGCTGACATGAGTTAAGACTTTGTGGGACTATTGGGAAGGCATGATTGATTTTAAAATGTGAGAACATGAAATTTGGGAGGGGCCAGGGGCAAAATGATATGGTTTGGCTGTGTCCTCACCCTATTCCCATCTTGAATTGTAGCTTCCATAATTCCCAGGTCGTGGGAGGGACCTAGTGGTAGGTAACAGAATCATGAAGGCAGGTCTTTCCTGTGCTGTTCTCATGATTGTGAACAAGTCTTAAGAGAGCTGATGGTTTTATAAAGCAGTTCCCCTGAACATGCTGTCCTGCCTACCGCCATGTAAGATGTGCCTTTGCTCCTACCTCACCTTCTGCCATGATTGTCAGGCCTCCCCAGCCATGTGGAACTGTGAGTCCATTAAATCTCTTTTTATTTATAAATTATTCAGTCTTGGATATTTCTTCATAGAAGTGTTTTAAAATGGACCAATACATCATTCTGTGTAGTATTCCTTAGGGTATATGTATCACATTGTCTTAATTCAATCAGTCATTGATGGATATTTAAGTTGATTTAATTTTTTTTTTTTGCTATTGTAAATAGTGCTGGAAAGAACATATATGTGTCTTTATAGTAGAATGATTTCTCTTCTTATGGTAGAATAATTTATATCCATTTGTGTATATACCCAGAAATTGAATTGCTGGGTTAAATGGTAGTTTTGCTTTTAGCTCTTTGAGGTATTGCACCATTGCTTTCCACAATGATTGAACTAATTTACATTCCCATCAACAGTGGATAAACATTCCCTTTTCTCCACAACCTTGACAGGATCAGTGATTTTTTGACTTTTTAATAATAGCCATTTTGACTGATGTGAGATGGTATCTGATTGTGGTTTTGATTTGCATTTCTCTAATAATCAATGATATTGAACTTTTTTATTTATATGTTTCTTGGCCACATGTATATCTTCTTTTGAAAAGTATCTGTTCATGTCCTTTGCCCATTTTTTATTAGGGTTGTTTGTTTCTTGTAAATTTATTTAAGTTCCTTATAGGTGCTGAATATTACATCTTTGTCAGATACATAGTTGGAAAATTTTCTCCCATTCTTTACATTGTCTGTTTACTCCGTTAATAGTTTATTTCACTGTGCAGAGCTCTTAAGTTTAATTAGATCCCATTTGTCAGCTTTTGCTTTTGATGCTTTTGCTTTTGGCATCTTCATCATGAAATCTTTGCCTAGTTCTACATCCAGAATGCATACATTGTTTTTCAGGGCTTTGTAGTTTTTCATTTTACATTTAAGTCTTTAATTCATTTTTGTATATTGTGTAAAAAAAGAAGTGTCCAGTTTTAATCTTCTGCATATGCCTAGCCCCTTATCCCAGCACCATTTATTGAATAGGGAGTCCTTACCCCATGGCTTGTTTTTGTCAGGTTTGTTAAAGATCTGTTGGTTGCAGGTGTGTGGCCTTATTTCTAGGTTTTCTATTCTGTTCCATTGGTCTATGTGTCTGTTTTTGTAGTACAGCTAACATCACACTTCATGAGAAACTCAAAGCTTTTCTGCTAAGATCAGGACTGAGGCAAAGACATCCTCTCTCACCACTCCTTTTCAACATCACACTGGAAGTTCTCACTGATGCAATAAACCAGGATAAAAATAAAAGATGCACTAATGGGCAAGAAACAAAAATGAAACTGTCCTTGTCAATTGAAAAAAAAGGAAAATTAACAAAATCATACATTTTACCCTGATTTGTACAACTTGTCCATTTTCATAGTGCAAATACTTTTATATGAACCTATTTCAAGCTACTAACTTCACATTGCTTGGAGTTAGAAGAGATGTGTGGTACCACTAATTAAATGGTATTTTCACTACAAAGCTAGAATAGACATAAATAACCTTGAAACCAGAGATAATATTAAAATTTAGTAGAAGAACTAGGAAGTAATGAGTATAAAGTAGTATTATCTTTGTTTTTAACCTAAACAATATAGAATAAATTTATTCATAGCTGTGTTAAACAACTGGCTTTAGCCAGCTGATATGAGCTGGCTTCTTCATAGCAAAATTTGCTAATATGTAATATCACCGCCTGCCTGATCTCTATTATCAAACAGATGACTTTATGACATAGAATCAAAGATATATCTGGGTTCACAAATCTTTTATTTTGTTTTCCTTCTGTTTTATTGCTGGTTTTTTTTGGAGCTAGATTTTCCTAAAATCTAGTACATACAAGAAAATTCATAGTCTTTCTTCCATTCTTCTTGGTCAATGAGGAAAGAACTTTGGAAATTTAAGTAATTTTTCTGGAACCATTTATTTTGAAAACAAAATATTGGTTAATTTAAATAATGTTGATTATATTAGTTATATATTCACATGTTAAGAAAAGAAAAGATAATATATTAGGAAAATGTAGATGATACCCATACACAGAAGTCTTGGCAGTACTATCAAGTAACTATTCTTGAAAATAATACATTAATATATTTAGTCACAGATATTATTCTGGAATTTAGGTATGAAAAAGAAAACACCTAATTTAGATTGTCAATATGAGCTTTAGGTATGAAATAAAGAAAATAAATGATACTAAGAAACCATAAGACATCTGGTAAGTTGAAGGAAAAAAAGTCTTTTTACATTATATACCATTCTCTATCAAGTTTTATTATAAATCACTACTTTTCACAGTTAAAAATATCTTTAGAAGCTTTCCACATCACCTTTTTGTGTTGTTTTATTCCCAGGAAATATTTGTATATAAAAACATAGAATTATTTTTTCTCATAAGAATTATGATAATAGCAGAGATGGTACATTATATTTTATAATAATGTGTCATCTCAATGCTGCAGGGAGTCCTTGAACACATGCTGCCCATATGCCCAATGGATTTATTCTGTGCACTTCTTCTCAATGACTAACTGACTAAATAAATTCTCTCAGGACACATCTCATCATAATGCTGATCAGCTATGGTTCATTTATTGTTATATAATTGCAAAGGATGTTTATCCTTTTTTGCCCTTTTATGCTGCACAAGCTGTTGTAATGTTCTGGGTCACAGATAGGATGAAACTGTGACTAAGCTCTTTTGTGAGTGCTCTATAATTTGGTAGTTTGCAAGAATGCAAGCAGATAAAATAATGTGTTTCCTAACTTGTAACTCTTAATGCTGAAATATAAGTATAATATATTAACTTTATAAAGAGTAATTTGAGCTTGTCAAAATGTCTTACAAATGATTTGCTCCTTTTTCTTCTTTATAAAATTATACATACAATTTTAATGAATTAAAGAGATGAAAGTAATTTAGAATTTTCCAATATATTATTCTTGTTTTAAAATTGTACAAGCTGAGGATTTGGAGAATAAGAATAGATTGTATAATGCTGCACAGATTATAAACACATTGCAACTGAATGCTAAATCCTCAATTGAAAAATCTGGAGATGCTTTATCTCCAGATACAGGAGAAAAAAAAAAGGGCATTCTAGTAAAATTTGAAGTGAAGCACGTATTTCTGACTGATTAAAATTTTAGAGACAAAGACTTTGCAAATCATGGTTGTTAAAGTTTTAGCCATTTGTTTTCCATATTTATTGATACAGCTGTGTTTAACCCAAAGACAATTCAGTTTTTAATTGGGGGAGATTGTGATCAGCTATATTGATATCTTTTGATATCTTAAAGGGATATCTTGGAGGAGAGCAAGATTTTAGCCCCTATCCCAAATGCACAGCTACCTCTCCTGTCACTGCTTTCTCATAAGATTGGAGGAGATACACCCCTGAGGCTTCGTACTCCAGAACTGTCTTCATTATATTTATCAATAGGCAGTGCCAGTGCAAGTTTAGATTCAACTCAAGAGTGCAACTAGGATAGGATTCTTTTTCTCTAATTAATGTTAAATTTATACTATATAAAATCTCATATAGTTCCCTACAATTTTTGGCAAATTTTGTAACTTTTAGTTTTCTATTTTAAAATTAAAAGTTCATCTTTTTCATTATATTAATGTCTTTTTTCTCATTCCCTATGCAAAGGAAATATATGATCTCTAGGAATTTGCAGTGAAAAGGGGTATGATTTCCATTTTTACTCCTCCTCTTACTTATATCAGGCCTCTGGAGCAAAGATAAGTGATATATTTTGATTCGGAAATTTCTCCTGATTTCTTTTTCTAGATTTTACTATTCTCATGAAATGTTTGGAGGAGAAAAAGATTAAACAAAAACAAGGCAAACATTGATTTAATAAACTTTCCGTGGTGTAGACGTTCTTGGTTGGTTATTCCTATATTCTGATTTACTTTGGCATCTATTCACTATGGGTATTGAATACTGGTAGTTTTGGCTCTTTTGTGGGCACATGCATTTTTAATTAAGAAAGACTGTGGGGCTTGAAAGGAACACAATTAAAATTGAGCATCTGTCACGAAATGAACCTCTTCCTCCACCTCAGATTCTGCCATAAGGAGTTTTAGAATCTCCTGCTAGTGTCTTCTGTCCCAATGAATTCCTCCCTGACTTACCAAGATGGCTCAAGAGCAGGCACTTTGCAAAAGGAAAGACACGTCTTTGATATTCCCAGGTGGTAAGATCGGAGGACATTTACTGCTGGGAAAAAACCTTTCCCACCCTCACCTCAACCTTAAGACTGCTCTAATTTTCTTCCACCCATGTGGCTGTAACCAGGGCTACGTCCTGCAGCTCATTAAATTCCCTCCTTTGTCAGAAATTAGTAGGTGAACGAGATATCAGCCTCCTTTTAAAAATATATCGCATGTAATTATCTTAAAAGTACTTATGTCAGTTGTTAATTTCAGAGTGTGGGAGTATCCTTTACTACAAATATTGCACTCCCAAACTCCTTGATGAATCTCTTCCTTACCTTTTATCTGTTTGTGTGTGTGTGTGTTAGAAACTTCAACAATACTTTATGTATTGATACATATATACATTATATACCTATCCACATTTTGTTTACTATTATATCATTTACTTTTTATTTTGTGATATTATATGCTAAACACAATTATTATTATTATTGTTTTATTTGATTTTTAATGTGAGTCATAGTAATATATTCCCTCTCAGTAAAAGACTTCCATTCAGTCTAAACGTAGAATGTTTGCCCTGAAACAGTTGATTACATTTTCTCTTATCACTTTATTAGAAAGTAATTTACTAGTTCATATATTTTGATGTGTAAATATCAGGGGCAAATTAATGTATATATTCATATACATATTAAATATATGTACATGCATATATTTAAGAGATGGGATCTTTCTATGTTGCCCAAGCTGGAGGGCAGTGGCTATTAACAGGTTTAATCATAGGGCATTACAGCCTTGAATTCCTGGGCTCAGGCAAGCCTCCTGACTCAGCCTTCCAAGTGGCTGAGACTACAAGCATGCTCCACAGTGCCTGGCGTATATCCTTTATCGTACTTCTTAACAATACAAATTGTGTTTCTAAATTTTTGAACTCCTGTTTAATCCTTTGAACCAACTGCAGTCATTACCACAATATTTTTGTTTGAACAATAGTTTTCAAATTTCTGTAACTAAGATCCCTTCTGCTACTCTCCATCCAACCACAGGGATCATGTTTCTAAACCATTTGTAATATTATTTTCATGCTATTACTAAGAATTTCTTTGTGCTGTTCTTTTTATTCAGTATACTTTGTTAACAGATATTCGGTATGTAATCATTACTATCAGTCCTTTTAATTGCACATGCATTTTCTTAGTTCATAGTTTATTATGTTTCTTATGCCACTTATTTTTTCTTTTTGGGGGAGTATATTGCCTAAGTTTATTTTGTATAGAGTATGTCCTTGTAAAATTTCAATACATGCGATAAATAGTTAATGCAATTGCTGAATCTTGGTATAACCAATAATGTCTTTTTAAAAAAAACTAACGTATTTTTGAAATATATAATATAGTGTACATTGTATATATTCTCTAACATGAGTATATATTATATGTACATATTATATGCATGTATCTATATTTGTTGAGTGTAGAAATTTTGGCTTATAGACCTATTTGCACATTTTTTAAAAGCCATTTAAGTATGTTTCCCCTGAGACAGTTGAAAAATATATCTGTTTTTCTTTATTTTGTAAATTTTCTTTGATAAAAATGTGCTAAAAATCCCTCCCTTCTAAGTTCAAATTATATATACATATATATTTATGTTTATTTTGTGTCTTATTCATTACCCCTAGTCATTGTACCATTTCAATATGCAGCTCCAAGTGGCTATTCAGCCAAGAAATGTGAACGTCTATTATCTGTTAATTGCATCTCCTCCATCTTTTCTGGTACCTCCATGAGGTACTATACCATGAACGTAATAGAAACCCAAAATATGTAACTCCTACACTCATTTTTTTTATTTATTTGTTATAATATTTATGTATTGCAAGATAATATTTTTATTTGATTTAGGTTCTGGAAGATACAGTTTCCAGCACTGATGATTCCATTTGTTAACTTATTTTTTAAAAATAATTTGATTATGTAGGCCTTAATGCCTTATAATAAAAATTATCTTCCTGATTATTATATGTTCACTATGCTCAAACTTAAAATTATGGAAAAAAGAAGTATGCCATTAAGTTATCTTCATCCCAAACATCCACACACCTGTTACCAATGTTATTGTTTTTTAAAAATGTTTTATAGTAGTAAATATAAATATGTATTATAATTTCTTAACCTTTCTGATTGAATTTCTGCAGTTCCAACTTTTCACTTAGTATCATGATACGGAGATTATTCCATACCTATTTTACTATAGAGTGTTGTCAACATTTTGAATATTTACTAGTTTGAAAGTAAGAAATGGCATGTCATTATATTTTTAATTTGCATTTATCTTATCTTAGGTGGAGTTGAACATATTTTTATATATTTTAGGGCTTTTTTCCCTCAACACTCAATTCATTAATTTTGCTAATTATTTTTCTTTGGTTTTATAATTCTAAACTCGGCCAGGCATGATGGCTCGTGCCTGTAATCCCAGCACTTTGGGAGGCCGAGGCGGGCAGATCACTTGAGGTCAGGAGTTTGAGACCAGCCTGACCAACATGGTGAAAAAAAAAAAAATTAGCCAGATGTGGTGGCGTGTGTCTGTAATCCCAGCTACTAGGGAGGCTGAGACAGGAGAATCACCTGAACCTGGGAGACGGAGGTTGCATTGAGCTGAGATTGCACCACTGCACTCCAGCCTGGGTGATGGAGTGAGACTCTGTCTCAAAAAAAAAAAAAAAAATTAAAAAATTAAAAAAAATTCTAAATTCATTTTCTATGAGATCATTACATAATAGGAAGATTAATCCTTATTATTTGAATCACTAATAAATATATGTACTAGCTTCTATATGTTCTTTTGACTTTTCAAATGTTTATTAGCAGGAAATGTTTTTAGAAATATAATCTAATCAACAGTATTCTAATTATATAGTCTATATTTTATGTCATAGTTAAAAAAAGCACCTTCTTATTCCAAGACTTTAAAGATTTACTTCCTAATTCTTTTAAGTAATTTTATGGTTTAATATCATAATTGTATGCAAGGTAAATAGAATTGATATATCTCTAATTTTGAGTTTTCTGAGTATAACTTTTTTAATGTCTTCAAGTTTATTTTTTATCCATCGAGATATTTTTGATACTCATATTTTTCTACATTTTTTAGTTTACTTCAAAAAATGTTATGTGTTGATGCTATTTTCTTATTACAGATTCAAAGGTTATAAGTGCAGTTTTGTTACATGGATATATTATAGTGGTAAAGTCTGAAATTTCAGTGTAGCCATTTCCCAAATAGTGTACATTGTATTCATTGAGTAATTTCTCATTTCTCATCTCTCTCCTGTGTTCCACCCTTCTAAGTCTCCAATGCCTATTATTTGACTCTCATTGTACATGATTATAAATGACTTCCCACTTATTAAAGAGAACATGTTTTGACATTCTGTTTTTGAGTTGTTGCTCTTAAAATAATGGCCTCTAGTTCCATCATGTTGCTGCAGAAAATGTTTCCTTTTTTATGGCTAAGTAGTATTCCATATTTTATATATATATATATACCACATTTTCTGGTCAATCATCCACTGATAGACATTTACATTGAGTCCACATCTTTGCTATTGTGAACAGTGCTGCATTAAACACATGAGTGCAGGTTACATTTTTGGTATGTTTATTTCTTTCCCATTGGGTAGATACTCAGTAGTGGGTTTGCTGGATCAAATGTCGCTTCCATTTTTAGTTCTTGGAGAAAGCTCTATACTGTTTCCTGTAGCGATTTTAGTAATTTACTGGGAATGGAAATTAGTAAAATCGCTACAGGAAGCAGTATTGCTTTTTTCCTGCATCCTTACCAACATCTGTTATTTTTTTAATTTTTTCATATTAGTCATTTTAGTGATTTTAATTTGCATTTCTGTGATAAGTAGTGATGTTGAGAATTTTTAAAATATACTTGTGGTGATTTGTATGTCTTCTTTGGAAAAATGTCTGTTCATGCTATTTGCCCCCTTTTTTAAATTAGTTATTTGTGTTTTGCTAGCTCAGTGGCTAAATTCCTTGTAGAGTCTGGATATTAGTCTTTTGTCAGATGCGCTATTTGCATATACGTGCTTTCATTCTTCAGGTTGTCTGATCACTTTGTTGATTATTTCCTTGCCATGCAAAAAAAAATTTTAGTTTATTTAAGTCTCATTTGTCTATTTGTCTTTATTGCATTTGCTTTTGAAACCTTATTCATGGCTTCTTTGCCAAGGCCAATGTCCAGAAGAGTTGTTGATTTTAGGTTTCCTTCTAGTATTTCTATAGCTTCAGGTTTTACATTTAATCTTTAATTCATCTTGAGTTAATTTTTGTATATGGTGAGAGACAGAGGTCTGGTGACATATGTTTCTGTATATGGCAATCCAATTTTCCAAGCACAATTTATTGAATGTGATCTCCTTTCCCCAGTGTATGTTTTTGTCAATTTTTCAAAGATCAGTTCGCTGATCTTTCAAAGATCTTATGGCTTCTCGATTCTGTTCTTTTGATCTATGTGTCTACTTTTATGTCAGTCCCATGCTATTTTGACATCTATAGCCCTGAAATATAATTTGATGTTAAAAATAGACAGAAATACAATAGTAGTAGGGGATTTCCACATTCTATTTACAGCACTACACTGATTTGAGATAGAGAATCAACAAAGAAACACTAGACTAAAATTACACCTTAGAACAAATGGACCTAACAGACATTTACAGAATATTCTACTCAACAACCAGAAAACATACATTCTCCAAGATAGACTACAGGCAACAAAACAACTCTGAAGAAGTTTCAACATAAAAATTATACCAAGTATATTCTTGGACCACAGTGGAATAAAATTAGAAGTCAATTCCAAGAGTAATTCTCAAAGCTATACAAATACATGGAAATTAAACAATTTTAATTAATTTTAATTAATTAACAATTTAATTAAATTGACACAAAGAGTGATCTTTGTGTCAATAATGAAATTAAGATAGAAATAAAAACATTTTGAAATGAATCAAAATGAAGACACAACATACCACAACTTCTGGGATACGGCAAAAGCAGTACTAAGAGGGAAGTGTATAGCATTAAATGCCTACATAAAAAAGATAGAAAGATCATAAAATAAAAACTTAGTGTTGTACCTTAAGGAACTACAAGACAAGAACAAAGAAAACTCAAAGTTAGCAGAAAAAGAGAAATAGCAAAGATCAGAACAGAAATAAATGAAATTAAGACCAAAAACTAAAATACAAAGGACCAACTAAATGAGAGCTGGTTTTTTGGAAAGATAAAGAAACTTGATATACTGCTAGCTAGACTATCCAAGAACAGAAGAGAGAAGATTCAAATAAGCACAATTAGAAATGAAAAGGAGACATTACAAATGATTCCACACAAATACAAAAGAACCTCTGAGACAACTATGAACATTTCCACCTTGAGACTTCTACGAACATTTTCTAGTTTCCACGTTGCGACCTAGAAAATCCAGAGGAAATGGATGAATTCCTGGAAACATACAAACTTCCCAAGGTTGAACAAGGGAGAAACAGAAATCCTGAAAAGGCTGACAATGAGCAGTAAAACTGAAACAGTAATAAAAAAAAACTCCCCAAAAGAAGAAAAAAAAAGCCAACACCAGATGGACCAACAGTAAAAATCTACCGGAGAAACAATAACTGGTTCCAATACTACTGAAAATGTTCCAAGATATCTAGGAGAAGGGAATCTTCCCTAACTCATTCTACAAAGCCAATATCCAATAAAATTATACCAAAGCCAAACAAAAACGCAACGTAAAAAGAAAACTACAGACCAACGTCACTAATGAAGATGCAAAAATTCTCAACAAAATGCTAGCAAATCAAATATAACAACAAATCAAATATAATATGCAACAGTCACATGAGTTTTATTCCAGGGGTGCAATGATGGTTTGACATACCTAAACCAATAAATGTGATTCACCATATAAACAGAATTAAAAACAAAAACTGTATGATAATATTAATAGATGTAGAAAAAGCATTTGATAAAATTCAGCATCCTTGATGGTAACAAACTAGGGATGGGAGGAACAGATCTCAAAATAATAAGGACCATGTATGACAAACCCGCAGCCGACATCATCTTGAATGGGGAAACGTTTGAAAGCATTGCCCCTAAGAATGGATGCTATTTTAAATGAAGTCTTCTCTTATATTACATTTTAACTTACTTATTTATATTTAAACAAATGCTATTAATTCATTTAATTCTATTCACTATCATCTTAAAAACCCTCTAATTGACTTTAGTAATCATTACTTAATTATTATATTTTCCTAGGCATAAAATTGCATCATCTACAATCTGAAAATAATGATATTATGAATTTCAGATTGTTTTAGCTATGATTTCCTTCTACTAAAATATTGTTACCTTTTTCTGACTATAGAGGAACTGCTTCTATTTTATTCCTGTTAGGTCAGATGATGCTATTAGAACATTATAGAGTTATAAAGTTTATTTGGTTAAAGTTATTATTAATTTGTATTTTTTCCCAAATTGAGTGCTGACTTTTTGGTGTCCTTTTTAGCATCAACATAATTGTATTACTTAAGTCGACAAGAATTAAGACATTAATTAATGCCTTAATGTACAGAATATATATTGTAATAATAAACTAGAATTCCATTTTTGGGGAGCAAGGGGTAGGTAATTTTATCTACCATGTGTAGATAATGTATGGTGGATTCTGAATTTTGTCATGACCTTTGCATCAATCTTAATTAAAATTGTTCTTTCTTTTTTAAAAAATCTTTTTCAGGTGTGAGATTAATATAATCTCACTTCACTAAAAGTTTCCAAAAATTGGGGATTTTGTTTTCTGGTTTCAGTATGTAAAATATTACCTGTTGTTCAAAAAGTAGATTAATCATTTATTAACTTATGGCTTCAAAGACAGACAATTCCTTTAAAACTCACATTTTTCCCCCTACTATGGATGTAATTTTACCTGGATGACCTATTTTGGGTTCAGTTTTCATAATTTAAATTTTTCTACTTTTTTGTCGTTTTTTAATGTGTTTTATTTACTTAAATAGGGTTGAGAGCAAAATAGTACAAAAAGGTACAAGGTTGCTCAGATGTTTTTTGAAAATAAATTGGCTATTTGTCTGTTGTTAGTTACCCTAAAATATCTTGTTTTGTGTATTTGTGACTTTTCCTTATTTTCCCTATTATGTTAGATAAAACTTTGAAAAAATTCTCAAACTTTTAAAAAGGGATCTTATGTATTGATTTATTTCTTTTTATTTTTATCCTAATATACAAATGTCTAATACATTTCTGTTGTTTTCTTTATTATTTCATTTTACTGCATTGCTATTAGTTTCATGTGCTTAATACTTTTATTTCTATTAATATTAAAAATTCTGATTATGATTTTTCTGTACTTTGAGTTCAATTTCAGCTCTATTACATTGGTGCTTTTATTAACATTATTTGAATGTTTTCATCTTTTGGCGGTAGAAGTTAGTTTCAAAATTTTGATATCAGTTTTTGGTGTTTTATATTCATTCATCTCTTCAAGGATGCCTTAGTTACTCTCAGATTTTGACAGTTATTAATGAAGCTGATAAAAACATTCATGTGAATATCTATTTTTGACTTTTACAAACTGGACGTTATATTTTATTTAACCCAAAATACCATATATATACATATATATGTGTGTGTGTGTGTGTGTGTGTATATATATATATATATATTTATATGTGTATATATATATATATATATTTATATGTGTATATATATATATTTATATGTATATATGTATATGTGTATGTATATGTATATGTATAGAGTATGGCATTATCTCATATAAATTACTTTGAAAAGTTAATGAGATTTTCTATTTATACCATTTATTTCCTTTAATAGAGGCCATATAGTAGACTCGCTTAAGGTAGTTTTTGATATGGTTTGGCCAAGCGTCATCTCATAGCTCCCGTAATTCCCACATGTTGTGGGAGGACTCAGTGGGAGATGGTTAAATCATGGGAGTGGGTCTTTCCTGTGCTGTTCTCATGATAGTGAATGGGTACCATGAGATCTGATGGGTTTAAAAATGGGAGTTGCCCTGCACAAGCTCCTTTTTTGCCTGCTGTCATCCACCAAATATGTAACTTGCTCCTCCTTGCCTTCTGCCATGATCATGAGGCCTCCCCAGCCATGTGGAACTGTAAGTCCAAAAAACCTCTTTCTTTTGGAAATTGTCCAGTCTCAGGTATGTCTTTATCAGCAATGGACTAATACAGTTTTCTCTCTTCAATTTACACATTTAATCTAATCAAATTATGGTATCTTTGACATTAATGATGAGAGGTAGTGTTGATTAAAATTATAGCTACGTTGCTTTGCAGAAAATTAAAGGCCACAGATAAAATGATCTCATTAAGTGGTCCTTAATCAATAGTTGTATTCCCTCACTGCAATAAAGAGCTAGCAGGTAGAAACAGATTTTTCCTATTTAAGTCCAAAAAGCCATTTTACTCAGCTGGGAGGGTCACTGATATGGTTTGGCTTTGTGTCCTCACCCAAATCTCATTTTTAGTTGTAATTCTGAGTGTTGGGGAAGGGTCCTGGTAGGAGGTGATTGGATCATATGGGCAGATTTCCCCCTTGCCTTTCTTGTAAAAGTGAGTGAGTTCTCATGAGATCTCATTGTTTAAAAATGTATATAGCACTTCACCCTTTGCTCTCTCCTGCTCCACCATGGTTGTATGTGCTGGCTTCCTCTTTGCCTTCTGCCATGATTATATGTTTGCTGAGTCCTCTCTGCCATGCTTCCTGTACAGCCTGCAGAGCTGTGAGTCAATTAAACTTATTTTCTTCATAAATGACATAGTATCAGGTAGTTATTTATAGCAGTGTGAGAATGGACTGATACAGAAAATTGGTACCAGAGAAGTGAGCATTAATATAAAGATGCTTGAAAATGTGGAAGCAACTTTGGAACTGGGTAATGGGCAGAGGTTGGAACAGTATGGAGGGATCAGAAGAAGATAGGAAGATGAAGTAAGTTTGGAGCTTCCTAGAGACTTGTTGGATGGTTGTGACCAAAATTCTGATAGTGATATGGACAGCGAAGTCCAGGTTGAGGTGGTCTCAGTTGAAGATGAGCAACTTACTGGGAACTGGAGTAAAGGTCACTCTTGCTATGCTTTAGCAAAGAGACTGGTGGCGTTATGCCCCTGTTCTAGAGATCTGTGAAACTTTGAACTTGAGAGAGTTAATTTAGAAAGAGTCAATTAAGAAATTTCTAAGCAGCAAAACATTCAAAATGTGGCCTGGCTGATTCTAAAAGCCTAAACTCATTTGCATAAACAAAGAAATGACCTGAAATTAGAACTTATATCTAAAAGGGAAGTGGAGCATAAAAAGTTTGGAAAATTTGCAGCCTGACTGTACAGTACAAAAGAAAAACCAGTTTTCTAGAGAGGAACTCAAGGCTGCAGAAATTTGCTTAAGTAAAGAGAAGACAAATGCTAATAGCCAAGACAATGGAGGAAATGCTTCCAGGGCATTTCAGAGACTTCACAGCAGCCCCTCTAATTATAGGCCTGTAGGCCTAGGAGGAAAAATGGTTTCGTGAACCAGGCCCAGGGTCCTGCTGCTCTGTGCAGCCTTAGGACATGATGCCCTGTGTCCCAGGTACTCATAGCTCTAGCCATGGCTAAAAGGGGCCAAGGTACAGTATGAGCCATCAGAGGGTGAAAGCCCCAAGACTTAGTGGCTTCCATGTGGTGTGCAGGTGAACAAAAGGCAAGAATTGAGGCTTAAGAGCCTCTGCCTAGATTTTGGAGATGTATAAAAATGCCTGGATGACCAGGCAGAAGTCTGCTGCAGGGGCAGAGCCCTCATGGAGAGCCTCTGCTAGAGCATTGCATGGGAGAAATGTGGGGTTGGAGACCTCACACAGAGTCCCCACTGGGACACTGTCTAGTGGAGCTGTGAGAAGATGGCCACCATCCTCCAGACCCTAGAATGGTACATCCACTGACAACTTGCACCATCCCCCTGGAAGAGCCACAGTCACTCACCAGCCTGTGAAAGCAGCTGCAGGGGCTGAACTCTGCAGAGTCACAGGAGGGGGACTGCCCAAGGCCTTGGGAGCCCAACCCTTGCATCAGCATGCCTGGATGTGAGACATGGAGTCAAGAATATTTTGTAGATTTAAGATATAATGATTTCCCTCTTGAGTTTTAGACTTCCATGGGGCATGTAGCCCCTTTGTTTTGCCCAATTTCTCCCTTTGGGAATGGAATAATTTACTCAATGCCTGTACCCACATTGTATTTTGGAATTAACAAACTGTTTTTTTATTTTACAGGTTCATAGGTGAAGGAACTTGCCTTGTCTCAGTTGAGGCTTTGGACTTGGACTTTTGAGTTAATGCTGGAATGACTTAAGAGTGTGGAGGACAGTTGGGAAAGCATGATTGTGTTTTGAAATGTGAGAAGAACATGAGATTTGGGAGGAGACAGGAATGGAGTGATATTATTTGGCTCTATGTTGCTACTCAAATCTCATGTAAAATTGTAATTCACAATGGTGGGGGAGGAACCTGGTGGGCAGTGATTGACTCATGGGGGGGATTTTCCCCTTGCTGTTCTCATGATAATGAGTGAGTTCTCATGAGATCTTGTTGTGTAAAAGTGTGTAGCACTTCCCCTTTGCTTTTTCTCTCTCTCCTGCTCCAACTTGGTGAGATGTGCTTACCTCCCTTTTGCCTTTCACCATGATTGTATCTTTCCTGGGGCCTTTCAGCCATTCTTTCTGTACAGCCTGCAGAACTGCGAGGCAATTAAACCTCCTTTCTTCATAAATTACTCAGTCTCAGGTAGTTCTTCACAGCACTGTGAAAATGGACTAATGCAGTCTCTCAAGGTCCTCACTTCAGGATCTGACCCTGAGATAGGCCAGTCTTTTGTTAGAATGTTAGAACAGGGAGATAGCTTGACATGAGCAAGAGGAAAAGCCTCTGAAAAAATGAAGTAAGAAATATTTCACACCCCAGAGACCATCCAAAATATGCAGGCTATATATAATCAGGGAGGAGGGGAAACACCTGTGCAGAAAGAAATGCCCTTTAAGATGACCAGTAATTGCTCATTCTGCAGTTAACCTAGCTAGCTACAGGCTGTCAAAAAGGAAAGGAGTGCCAAGGAGAAACTCCTAAGAGATATGCAGGCACAATAAGTACAGATTCAACTGCAATACAACCTTCCTGGTGGTGGTAATGAGCAAACCTGTCATTTGGTAGAATTTATATTTGACACTGTGTTTGCTCATGCACGTCACCTGACAGTAGGAGAGAATCCCGCAAACCTGGGGTGGGAACTAGGCATGGAAAAGACAGAGACTTAAGGCAGAATGGGGAAACTAGACAAAGGTGGAGACTTGAGACAGAGGCCGGAACTTAAAGAGTCCAACATAAAAAGCTGCAAGGTAGAATGCTCTGAGTTGCTGCTGGCTCATTACATTCTCTTTTTAGCAGCCTGCTCTGCCTTGTCTTTCCGAGTGTACTGTCTGTGCTACTGCTTAAACCTTGCTCCTACTACTGCTGTTTTCCAGCCAAACCAGCCAAGAGCTGTTTTCTAGCCAGGTCAACCCACTCCTCTCTTGGAGTACACTCTTATGTCCTTAATAAACCTTTTGCTTACATTACTAATTGGTCTCTTGCCTGAATTTTTCACCGCAAGAAGACCAAGGACAGAGGATTCCTGTACTTCCCCATAACAAGACCTGTGGTTTATGTCCTTTCAGCTCCATAAGCAATGCTTCATTGTAGCCAAAAACCAGCCCAAATAACTGCAAAGCCTCCTTGGAGTCCCAGAACCTCAAAGATGTATGGACTGTCCCCAAGCCTCTGAATGAGATTGTACAATCCCACCTCACTCATATGCTCAAACACAAACTGATTCTAACGCACACACACACACACACACACACACACACAAAGTTCATGTATCAATTTAAATCACTTAGCCAGGACTTGAAAAGGAAGACTAAGGAGGACTAAATTTAAATATATCTTTAGATAAATAGGGATTGTTAGGAATTTAGTTTGCTTTAATGCATAATGAAGAGTTAATACATTTACATTTCCTAAAAATGTTTCCTGACTTTCACAAAATAATTTTTCCTTTATTGAGGTAGTTTCCTGTCTTTGGTACCCTTTAAGGTGTCATATCTTATTATAGAACTGGTTATAATGTATGGTTAAATACTACCTATGCTCTAATATTAATTTCAAATTATTTTATCTTTAAACAAGTAATTCATTTTAACATTCAAATAATATCCCATAAATTATTTTCATGTGTGAGGAACTGTTATATTTTACTATCATTATAAATTTCCTATCATTTCAATGCTATTTCAAGATACTTGACATTTGCATTAATTTCTTTTTCTGGATAATATTCAGAATACTTCTACCATGTGAAAAAACATGATAAGTTTGATTAAAATATGACATCAATACTTATAGGTTATTTTTAAAAAAATTGACAATCACGGTGTCTAAAACGTGACAATTTTCTCATTATATTTGTATTATCACAAACTTTACAATTGTAATGCATTTTCTTCAGAAATTTCAATTATTAATAGGCTGAATTATATTTCTCTACTCTCTAAATATATCCAAAGGCTATCCTTTTATGTTTTATTTTCTTTTTTCTTTAGCCTTTGCATTCCAGGAGAGCAATTCCAATGAGCAATTTTTCCATTGCAGCAATTTTTGCCATTTAATGTCTCTAGGATAAATTTTTATTTTTTGCTATTCAGTTTATGATTTTTAATGATTACTAGTTTTATTCTTCTCTCTTTTCTGTTTGCATATTTTTAAACTTCCATTACACATGTTATAAAATGTTCATAAACTTTATGGATTGTGCATGTTATCAGTTTTATTTGGATGTTCTAAGTATTGTTCCAATTTGTCTTTATTATAAATCTTTCCTATGCCTTATGTTGAAGTTGCACTCAAAATTCACTACACATATACAAATAATAACATAACTTCTTCACTTGGGACAAATAATGAGCTTTCAAGTTTTATTTAATTTCTGCAATAGCCAAAATAATTTGTAGCCAGGTTTTGACTAATACAATAATAGTTATTCTAAAAATGTGGACTAAAATCTATTTACCAACCACGACATATTTATAACAATTTGAAAACACATCCACAGATTTTGAAGACTTAAAATCTCCACATAGCAGTTTATTGATTGTATTCATCTTTTTATAATTGGTTTGTATCTTCTCAAAGAAAAGAATTTGTCATATTCATCCATCAAAATCCAGTGCCTTTCCATCAATAATACCATGTAAAAATTAAAGAGAATCTATGAATGTAAACACTTGTTTTCTGGATGTGAAAATGCAGTGTGTAATTATGTAATTACATAGTTAATTGAAGTTTATTTGTAAGACTAGGTGCATTATTATGCAGAGGGACAATCAATCGAGTTTATTCAATTATTTTTATATTAATAACATTTTACTACATCCTATGTTGGATTTGTCTCCCATGATGAGCATCTCTATGTGTGCAGTTTATCATTAATCTCCTCTGGTAAAGTAATGTGTCCAGGTGTCATAGTTTCTTTTCCTGGCACTTCTGGAACTCTTAAGTGTGAAATTTGCACCAGTTAAATATCAGAAAATAAGACATTTTAAATATAAATATTTTAAATTTAAAAAAGGATAGATTTATATAAATATCTAACTCTCAGGGATTTTCATTAAGAAAAAACACATTTATAGGTCTCAAACCTATTTTCATTTTCCTAAGTGGGCATGTGCAAATATAGTGTTTGGTTATTTCCTTATTTTATCTCCTTTGTTTTGATGGGGCTCCACTGTTTTTTTGAGTTTTGAAAATGGCCAGAACTCTCTTATCTGGAAGACTGGCTCTCATCTGTACAACAGGCTATTTTTTTTTCTTGTTTATAAATGCATCCTTGAGTCCTAACATTATGAGACTTCAAACTTTTAAATTTCAAATCTACTTAAAATCTAACAGACCTGAGGTTGCACATGCTGCCAAGTTTCCACTCTACCTCAGCCACGTATTTATTCATATCTCAATGAGATCACAACATTCCTTTCATTTTCTTGATTGTTTCCAAGTTACCGCTACTTTTCAGATTTCACTTTATTACTTGGAGTCATTTCTATTTATCAGCGTGTGTCATGGAAACATCTTATCTACTGAATCTTTCTCTAATATGCTTCATATGTTGAAAGAGCTGTAATATGGGAAAAGTAAGTGTTGCATATATGCATGTAATATATGTGGAGTTCACTTTCCATTACAACCACTTTATCTACTTCTAGATAGTGAACAGATGCCAAATATACCTGCTAGTGTGTTTTGTCACTGTTTGTTCTCTTGACTCTTAGCTCAGTCTCCATGGACATGATATACCATGACCAGCAATCGCCTGCAGTGATTCTTTTGGTGAAGACTTACTGAGCATTTGTTTGTATTATACCTTCTACTGGATATTAGATACAGAATATTTTTTGAAGTCTTGCTTTGATAGTTATATTCAAATAGAAAACAAAAATTATAGACCTATATAACTGTGACAGAAAGCTGACTTTCAACTGAAAGTACAGGGAATGAGTATCTGAAACCCCTCATACATTTACATAAAACCTGGAAATTGGCATCAAGCTATCATTGTCACATTCACTTGCATCTGTTCTCACTCAACCTTCTTCTCTCTCATTTTAGTCATTTCATTCCTTTCTAAAATAAACAAAAAACCTACACTTGAGTTCATGATTAAAATCCCTCAAGAGATTTTCTTTATAATTATCAACTACACCCATGTTTAATATTTTCCTCTCAACATCCTTCCTTTATCAAATATAAATAAGCATTAAGAAACAGCTGTCTAAGCTCATTGTTTTGCTCTATCAGGTTACTCACTCTGCATCCCACCTTGGGCAGACATGAGACAGAATTCTACGTAACCACTTCCTTTTTTCATCTTCAGTTTTGAATGTCTTATTTATTCTGTAAACATTGTAATCTGATTTCTATCACCAAGAGCACACATGATGAAATGCTTATTACCAACTGACTTACCTCATGGTAATTACAGTCCTTGTTCATCATGTATCACCATAGGCAATTCATTTCTTCTTGATTGAAATACTAAATTCACTCGGAATTTGGGAATACTAACACTTCTGATTTGCTTCCTAACTCTCTAGATATCTACTTTTATTATCAAATATAGCCCACTCTTTTTCTGCTTTATCTTAAATATTAAATATGACTTGAATATAGCTGTATTCATATCAAAAAATCAAGCCTTCAAATTACACATATATGAGAGGCTTGTCATGTTCATACTAAGAAATTTGAACGAATTGCAAATAAAAATACTTTGTCAGATGATTTTTTTCTATGAGTTGGATTTCCATATCATAGCAAGTTTCTGAAGATGTGATGGTTCTAATGAGGTAGTAGGAAGGTTGATGCTTGAGCTATGTTCTTTGTTGCAGAAAGACACAGTATTTTTTTTTGGAGTAGATTTGTTTTATTTATTTATTTATTATTATTATACTTTAAGTTTTAGGGTACATGTACACAATGTGCAGGTAAGTTACATATGTATAAATGTTTTGATGAAGTCTTTCCATAATACTTCAGCCACTGTATATTATCAACATATCTAAGTATTATGAATCTATTATCAGACTCTGTCATCTATCTATCTATCTATCTATCTATCTATCTATCTCTCCATCTGTCATCTATCTCTGTCTGTCTACCTGTTTTTAGTGTCCTAGAATGCTACTTTGTGAGTTCACAAAACACTCATATTAACTTTTGGAATATTGGACATTTCTTTTTGTCCAATTCTTTGTCCAAATACTCTTTATTTATGAAACTTTTAGGGATTTTATTTTTTCCTGGACTTGTTAAATAGAAGATGCTTAACATTTTGAAGATTTTTGTTTAATAAGTCCATACATATCTGTAAATACTGAATGATGATTTTACCACTTCACCATCAATTATGGCTAAAAAATTAAACTCAAGATGTACAACACTGTTTTTCTGAGTAAGACTAGAAAGAACTCCATAGGTGGTCCTTTCTTCTAAATTAATTTTGTTATCATTGATGACTTCTGAAGCATTATGAAAAAGTGTATTTTCATAAATCTATGTGAATCAAGTGATGCTTATCTTATTAAAGTAAAAATATTAATTCTATTTCCATAATTGAGGATAAATTTAAACTTAAAAATAAAAGTAAGCTGAATAAAATCAAAATAATCTTGAAAGTAACTTATATGAGTAATATTATTTTCTCAGATTTTCAATCATCTTTGATGTAACTGTGACAAACCCAAATATCCTAAATAATAAACCAAAATACCATGAATTTTTGTGGGGTCTTACTGTGATACCACGACTTTGATAACACCTGAAGTGACCAATATCCTCTTCAATGACTCAAATCCACTGACTATGTTATTTGATATTATAGTAAATTCAAATTGTGGTAAATGTATCTCACCCTCTACTCTCAATTTCTATACTTACAATGTACTAACAAATATTCTCTAAGCTGGCATCTGTTGGAAGTTGACACTTTGGGTCACACTAACCTGGGTTAATTTGCCTTTTTTTAGCTTTTTTTTTTTTTTTTGACAGCATCTCCCTCTGTCATCCAGGCTGGAGTGCAGTGGTACAATATTGGCTCACTGTAACCTCTACCTCCTGGGTTCAAGTAATTCTGCTGCCTCAGCCTCCCAAGTAGCTGAGACAACAGGCGCGCACCATCACTCCCAGCTAATTTTTGTATTTTTAGTATAGATGTTGTTTCACCATGTTGGCGAGGCTTGTCTTGAACTCCTGACCTCAGGTGATCCACCCACCTTGGCCTCCCAAAGTGCTGGGATTGCAGGCGTGAGCCACAGCGCCCAACCTCATTAGTCTTTTGATCGCCAAATAACAAGATATATGGGAGTGAAGTATTCGATTTTGGTTTTTGTTTAATATTCTGTATCCAACTCCAGTTAATACATAGGTAAATTAACTAGAGATTTAGGTTCCAGTTTTATTTGTCAATCTAAAAATTACTTATGATCATTTCTCCGCTTCTCTCTCTCGTTATAGATTAAAACCTTCCAATAGGCTACCACTGAGCTTTGTTCTTTTCACATGTTATAAACTTCTCTACATTTGACTCACTCCTAGTTGTCTTTTAGGATCCAACTTTCTCTGGTAAAACTCCCATAGCTATGTAATATGTGGTTAATCAAACTTCTTGTGTGTTTCTAAAACACTATATACTTCATATTATGACAAAACTTAATACGTCCTACTGTAATTGACTATTGCTTATGAATAGCTCTTGCAAGACGAAGAATTCTTTGTAGTATTTCTGTATGTTTAGTTTCTATCACACCATTGGGCACATAAAACTGGTTGAAAAATCATGCCTTTTTCATTAAATGAAAGATTTCATATAGGAGGTTTTACAGAAATAAGCAGGGACGTGAGCAATATAGTGTAGAAAAAGTAGGCCTAGCTCAACAGGAAAAATAGAACCAATGAGAAATATTATTATTCTCCAATATCTGCATTAACAGGAGAATGCCATGCTTTTTTCCTACCATTTAGAAAATGGAATCCAGAGAATTGTAATTTTTCATACACTAAGAAATTTAATGTGCGAAGGTATTCAAAAAGCTTAACTTAACCTCCAAATCAAATTTGACCTCACAAGACTCTCTGCTTTATTATTCTAGGCTACTCTCTATAGAAATTATTACAATTTGTTATAAGGACTCGCAGGGCTCAGAAGCCATTATGCTCATACAGTTTATTACGGTAAATAAATGCAAAGCAAAATTCGCAAAAGGAAAGGTAGGTAGAGTAATGTCTGGAGAAAACCAAACACAGGGTTTTACATGTCCTCTCCCAGTTGCTTCACACAGAGTACTTAATTCTCTGAAAAAAATATGTGACAACGTCTGCAAAGTGTTGGCTAGTAGGTTAGCTAAATGCGATCTTAGGGTCCAAGGTTTTTATTTGAGCCCACTCACATAGGCGCCCTCTGCCTAGCACATCGAAGAAAGAAGAAAAGCATGTTCAGCACAAAACACACCACGTATGCAAACAGTTTAGGGACAGTCAGACACACTTGTTTAATCAGCATTTTATATCAGTGTAGGGAATGGATTATCAGCCAAGTTCCCGGAGACCAAACAAGTACCAAACTTGTAGTTTTTTCTAAGGATGGTCAATCTCAGGCTTGCTATGTTCACTTTTTGGCACAACTCTATACACTACATTAACACAAATCGTAGCTCTAAAAAGGGAAATTAAGTATTTTTAGATTGAATAAATGAATGTGTTTCAGGAATTTTCAACTTAGGTATATAATTAATTTTTCAAATGTTTTTGCATTTGAATGTATTCTTATTCTGAAATGTCAAAAGAGTAGCTAGTGGCAAGAATCCATTATACAACATAGTCTTAGTATATCAATAGAACCAAGTTTAAAAAATAATTTTCAACTATGGGAAATGAAAGAAGTTGCCCTTCTACTTTGAAACAGAATTGAACATGTATTTTATCTGACTTCTCAAGTTCCTGGAAAAGCAGCCAAAGGTATACCTGCATTGACTTATCATCTAAGAAAGGACAAAGTTATACCTACTTTCAAAATAATTATCCTACAAAATATTCTGAAAATTATCATTTTATCATGCTCTTGATTTTTAAACTGTGCATAAAGTTCAGCTGCATGTGTCTTCAGAACCCATGTAAAATATTTCACAGGGTTCCAAACTGGAAGATGAGCTCAAATGGCCACAATGCCAGTGAATCAGTAGGAAAAAAAAGATATTACTCCACATTTTTGAGTGATTTATTCTGATTTTCAAAGTGACATTGGATTCCTACTACATAATGAGAATAAGTAGGAGTATGTCTGAAATGGAGGGGATCTCCTGGATGTCTTATTGTATTTCAATTCCTGGTTATGAAGCCAAACGAAAATAATAGCAACACAATACAGGCAAACCTATTGATAGTCTTAAACTTTTGGAATAAAAATGTGTACCACCCAACATGCAAGGAACCATACTTAGCTGAGTTGCTTGCTTAGTGCAAGAAAACATAAATGGGTAGTCAGGGAAGGCAGATTTAATTACTGGTTATAACCACATGACCACCTGAAGATACCAGAACTATAATAATTATGAATATCCCTTATTTTGAATTTTATATGGTTATATTATCACATGTATTAATAATTTTATTTTATCCTCTTCCATAACCCTATCACATAACATGAATACTATTATTAGTAGATAACCTTGAATTTCAGTATTTAAGTTAATGTACATCAAAGAGGGATAGCACATAATTAACCTAGAAAAAAACACAAGGCCCATGGATATAGAGACCTTGGGAGAGAGATTTAAGGCATCTTTCAATGAACACATTTTTTATTTTTTATTATTATAGTAGCCCCTTATTATCCTTGGTTTTGCTTTTCGTAATTTCAGTAAACTGCAGTCAACTGTGGTCTGAAAATATTAAATGAAAAATTACAGAAATAACAGTTTATAAGTTTTACCTTGACACTCTTCTGAGTGGGAAAATCTTATGTCTTCCCACTCCACCCTGTCCAGGATGAGAATCATCTTTGTTTTTTTTTTTTTTTTTTTTTTTTTTTTTTTTGAGGTAGACTTTCACTGTTGATGCCCAGGCTGGAGTGCAATGGTGCAATCTCGGCTCACTGCAACCTTGGCCTCCTGGGTTCAAGTGATTCTCCTGCCTCAGCCTCCCAAGTAGCTGGGATTACAGGCACCTACCACTGTGCCCAGCTAATTTTTGTATTTTTTTTTTTAGTAGAGACAGGGTTTCGCCATGTTTGCCAGGCTGCTCTTCAACTCCCGACCTCAGGTGATCCTCTCGCCTCAGCCTCCCAAAGTACTGGGATTACAGGCATGAGCCACTGTGCCCAGCTCTTTTTGTCCAGCACCTGCACACTCTATAGGTTCCCCAGTTAGTCACTTGGTAGTCCTCTCGGTTATCAGATCAACTACCCCAGTATTGCAATGCTTGTGTTCAAGTTGCCCTTATTTTACATAGTAATGGCCCCAAAACACAAGATGCTGGCAGTTTGAATAGGCCAAAGAGAAGACATAAAGTTCTTCATTTAAGTGAAAGGTGAAAGTTCTTGACTTAACAAAGAAATTAAAAAATTGTATGCTGAAGTTGCTAAAATCTACACTAAGAATGAATCTTCTATCCATGAAATTGTGAAGAAGAAAAAAGAAATGTATGCATAGCATATACAGAGTTCAGTACTATCCAGTTTCAGTCATGCACTGAGGATCTTGGAACATATCTCCCACAGATAAGGAGGAACTACTGGTTATGAGGAAAAGATGCATTTTCTTTGGTAGAGGTATGATTGTACCCATGTCTTTATTTGGAGGTTAAACATTGCTATACGTGGGATATATACAAGCCCACAGACTTGTATATACGTGGACTGTAGTAGGTTTACAGTGTGTCAGCATAGCTAAGTTGGGTGTGTATTTTTCCAATATTCCTTGCCCTGTGTATGTCTAAATTCACGTAGTTACAAGGGACATTTTCTGTGAGATTTGGTAGGTGCAAATGAAATAGCCAAACTCTTACACTTCCAATATGGGGCAGGGCAAAAATGTTTTAGCTGACGCCGATTGCCACTTACCCTCTGAATTCCCATTTTTTCCCCCTTATTAGACCCAGAAGATCCGTTGGAAGTCCAGCTCCTGCTGAATCTCCTCCTTCAGCTTCTTTGACTCTGCAATTATGTGAATTATCAGACCCACAGTGAAAGTTTCAACTTTCACTCATAATCCCCTCATAATCAAAGCTGAAAACCTCAAAGTGGAAGAAAACAATTTGGATTCCAATCTATCTTCAGTGATTCCACAAGTGATCACCATTTTATTTTCCCCCCTTTCTCTATTTTCCTATTTCCCAATTTCCTGATCAGCTATTGATTTTGATTTTGATTAGACTCTGACACAACTAATATACAAAAATTATATGTGCATAAAACACACTTGGGTATCATAAACCTTTCAACTCTAATTATTAATGAGCTATCTATTTGGTAAAGTTGTTCAAAACTCTTAACACCTCAATTTCCTTTCCTGAAAAATGAGACTAATAATATCTAGCTCAAAGAATTGTTTTGACAAATAAATGAGATAAAATATGCAAAATGCTCGTTATTAAATAAACTATTCAGAAAGCACTCAGACAATGTCAAATACAATCTATTATGCTAAAAACAATGAAAAGAATCTTTTTGAATTAAA
The DNA here is from genome assembly GCF_000001405.40 of Homo sapiens. NCBI lineage: Eukaryota > Metazoa > Chordata > Mammalia > Primates > Hominidae > Homo > Homo sapiens. Next base: position 68,857,618 of record NC_000013.11, read on the forward strand.
GTGAAAATAAAAACTCTTCTAGTGGTATTTTTCCTCAACAGTGCCCTATATGTATGTGGTTCAAATAGATACGCTTTCAGGAACCCTTGAATAAGAAATAATACTGTTTTATACAAAAATCAATTTCTGAGCATTTTTTCAAAAGGTAGATTTGGCATGAGAGAATATTAGAAATATGAAGCATCTTTCAAAACAAGCAAATATTTGTGGTTAAAAATGCAGGACTTATCTCCTTTAAATTCATTAGAACATTAAAATATAAATATTATTTCATTTGGAGAATAAGTAGGGTCAGGAAGTCCTGATAATTTCAAATGAAAACATCACACTCTTTTAAGAGAATCTACAATAAAGATACAGAGAATGCATTTTAAAATACTGCTTATACTCAAGGAATGATCAGAAAAATTCACTAAAATGTTAAATATTAAATAAAATCATCAAGGTACTTATTGTATTTTCAATTTAGAGAGTAATTTTTCTCCTGTACTTTATTTTTTCAAACAGTAGCTGTGTTATGAGATAGATACTACTATTCCTATAAAGAAGCATTGAAATTTTGAATCAATAGGCATTTTGGTATTTTTAGAGACCTAACCATTTATTCGTGTGAAAGTTATGACTTATCCACCCAGATTCATTATTATGTAACTGTATCTTAGTATCTCTGTGGCTAGCTTAAAATGCATTATGGAAATTATACTATGTCAAGTAAGAATTTATTGTCAAAATGTTCAAATACTATAAGTAGGAAAATGTTTTCAATATGTCAAAAAACAAAGAGAGTGGCCTTTAAATTGAAACATATTCACAGCAACTTTTACATAAATAAGGGGAAAAAATCAATAGGCACTTTTTGAATGACTCTGAAAGCTATGCTATCCAGGGATGTGTTATCTGATTTACAAGTAGACTGATACATGTTTTACAGGTTGGGTGAATTTGTGTTAATGTCACATAAAGATGTTGTATTAATATGTTTCTGAATTCTCCCTATAATTACATTATTGCAAAATACAAAGTGTAACTAACTTAATTTAGGTGTGTGGAGAATCACTCTCTGTCTTCTACCTATTGGTGTTTCTCCTAGGAATCAGTCTCATTCTTCTCCATGTACTTAAATCTACTGCAACTCCAGCTGTTTTACCTATTCTTGTCATCATCTCACTTAATCAAATAACATCAAAAAGAAAAAAGAAACAAGAAAAAATGTCCAATTAAACAATATACTAAGACTATTACACCAAAACAATAACTTGAGATTTAACACAGTAATAAAATGCCAAAGTTCAGAAAAACTAAAGAAAAAATTATATTGCAATCACATACTAGAAATAATTGCTGGTGAGAGAGAGGCAGATGCAGTAATTAAGAAGGGGGTGGACGGAAAAGTGGCAGTGAGCTAAAGGTGATTTAAAAAGGTATAAAAACCTAGTGCACACCCATGATTTGAGAACTGCTCTGTGGAAGTAATATATTTTTATAAACATTTTATAAGTACTTTTCATGTGCATTCTTTTATTTTGAAAGAGATAATCTCTATTTTGTTTTAAAGATAGACATCTTAGCAACTGTTTCAAAGTTTACTATGCATCTCATTCTCTATAAAAGTGAAGAAATTCATCCAATAATCCTATAATATACACTAAAATAAGTCTGAGGTAGAACTTTTCCATCATAACTTTCTGAGATAATTAGACATTTAGAATCAACAGAAACCATATACACTTTTATCATCTTTATATTTGGCTTGGTAAAAGATCATTGCACTCTCATTTCTAGTATAATTTGACTGCATGATAAAATGCTGTATTTTATTGTTTTACTTGATACTACAAGAACATATTAAATTTTGACAAACAATAAAAACACGGCCATATACAACTTGTTTTTGAATACAACATCTCAAAGAATGCTTTAGTTCTGATATGTATTTTTCTAATAAAGTTTGTTAGTGAACATAGCAAAATAACTTTAGGCAAGAATATAGAAAAATTATAAAATGTTGATCATAAAAATATAATTCTATATTGATTGTCCCTGTTGTTTTTCAACCTATCTCTTTTCCCTGTGGGGAGTAAATAGGAATAATCCATTTGAGAAGACAACTCAAGGAAAGTGATACTAAATTGTGTGTGTGTCTGTGTGTGCATGTGCACACACATACCTGTGTGTATTAATAATGCTTCACTATACAGCAGAGAGCGTAGAAATATTTTCTATCTGCTTTCAGCTTTTTTAAGCCTCATGGACCATTCAGAACATATTGACATTGTGTTACACACCAAAACCTGAGAATCAGAGAAGTTATTTTGCCTTTTTAAGATCATACAGCTAGTAAGGAAGTGGGGAGCTGAACATTTAAAACATAATTTTTATGATACTCAAGCTACTTATTATTATCCCACTAAATTGTGCTCCATGACCTATATATTTTATGACTATTTCAGGAGGAAATAATTGAAGTAGTCATACTTGAAAATATTATTTTTCTTTTATTGATAGATAATATTTTGCATATTTATGGAGTAATGTGAATGCTTTTAAAAGCAAAGGATATGTAATGATCAAGAAAGCTTATTGAGGGTATTCATCATATTGAGTATTTATCTCTTCTATGTGTTTGTAACATGTCTTCAATTCCAGCTACTTTGAAATATATATTGTTGCAAATGACAGTCACTCTATTATTCTATTAAACACTAGGACTTATTTTATTGCTTCTATACAGCTATAAATTTGACTCACTCACTGATATGGCTTGGCTCTGTTTCCCCACCCAAATCTCATCTTGAACTGTCATCCCCACATGTCAGGGGAGGGACAAGTACACGTACCTCTTTGAGATACCTGTATAAGAAAGCTTGTTTTGTGAATAGATAATTGGGAGTGGGATTGCTAGATTGTATGGTAGTTCTTTTATTTGCTTTTCATAGAAATTTTCATACTGTTTCCCACAGTGCTTGTATTAACATACATTCCCACTAAGGGTGTATAAGAGTTACCTTTTCACCACTTCATTGCCACCATCTGCTATTTTTTTTGTTTTTTTAATAACAGCCATTCTAACTATGGTAAGGTGATATCTCATTGGGGTTTTGATTTGCATTTTACTAATGATAAGTGATGTTGAGCATTTTTGTATATACCTGTGGGCCATTTGCATGTTTTTTTTTAAAGAAATGACTATGCGTGTTCTTATCTTATATTTTAATTGGATTATTCTTTCTATTGTTAAGTTGTGTGAATTCCTTATATATTCTATATATTAGTTGCTGGCCAGATGAGTAGTTTGCAACTTTTTCTCCTATGAAAAACGTTTTCTCATCACTCTGTTGATTATTTTCTTTGCTGTAAAGAAACCTTTTGGTTTAACATCGTTCCAATTGTATATTTTTGTTTGTGCTTTTGAGGTATTAGCCATAAAATCTTTGCCTAAGTCAATGTCCTAAAGTGTTTATTCTGTTTTCTTTTATTAGTTTTATAGTTTTGCATCTTACATTTAATTATTTATTTTATCTGAAGTTAATTTTTGTGTATAGTGAGAGATAGGAGTCCAGGTAATTCTTCCATATATGGATAGCTGATTTTCCCAACACAATTTATTGAAGAGGGTATCATTTCCTTAACGTATGTTCTTGGTTCCTTTGTTAAAAATCTTAAATATTTGGATTTATTTCTGGGTGCTTTATTCTGTCCCATTGTGTCTATTTCTATACCAATGCCATGCTGTTTTGATTATTATAGCCTTATAATCTGAAGTCAGTTTGTGTGAGGTTTTGAACTTCGTTCTTTTTGCTTAGGATTGCTTTGGCTATTCCGACTACATCTTGGTTCCATAAAAATTTTAGGATTGCTTTTCTATTTCTGTGAAAAATGACAATGGTATTTTGATAGGGAGGGCATTGAATGTGTATTTTATTTGGGGTAGTATGGTCATTTCAAGGATATTAATTCTTCTTATCCATGACTATAAGATGTCTTTTCATTTGTTTGTTCAATTTTTTCATCAATGTCTTATAGTTTTCCTTGAACAGATCTTTTACCTCCTTAGTTAAATTTATTCCTAGGTATTTTGTTTTTATTGTAGCTACTGGAAATAGGATTACCAACTTGATTTATTTTTCAACTATTTAATTATTGTATAGAAATGTTATTAACTTGTATATGTTAATTTTGTCTTCTGCAACTGTACTGAATTTATTTTTAAGCACTAAGAGTTATTTTGGTGTAGTCTTTAGGTTTTTGTAAATATAACATTATTTCATCTGCAGATAGGAACTATTTAACATTGTCTTTTCCAATTTGGATATCTTTTATTTTTTGTTTTGCCTGATTGGACTGTCTAGGACTTCCTAATACTAAGTTGAAAAAGAGTGATGAAAGTGAACATTCTTGTTTTATTCTAGTGCTTAGAGGAAAGACTCTCAACCTTTCCCATTCAGAATGACATTAGCTGTGGATTTGTCATATGTAGCCTTTATTATTCTGAGGTATGTTTCTCATATGTCTAGTTCATTGAGTTTTTGTCATGAAGAGATGTTGAATTTTATCAAATGCTTTTTCTACATCTATTGTGAGTATATGTTTCTGTCTTCATTTTCATGATGTGATACATCCCTTCAATAGATTTGCATATGTTAAACCATCCTTGAATCCTTAAGAAAAATCCCAATAGATCATGATGTATTATCTTTTTGATGTCCTGCTGAATTTTATTTGCTATTATGTTATTGAAAATTTTTGCATCTATCTTCATGAGGGATATTGACCTGTAAGTATTTTTGTTGTTGTTAGGCCTCTGGTTAGTTTGGTATCAGGGGAATGCTGGCCTCTTACAATGAGTTAGAAAGAATTCTCTCCTCTTCAGTTTTTTGAAATACTTTGAGAAGGATTGGTACTATTTCCTTTTTCTATGTTTGGTAGAATTCCATAGTGAATCCATTCAGCCATGAGCTTTTATTTGTTGAAAGATTTTTTATCAGTGATTTAATATCACTACTCATTATTGATCTGTTCAGATTTTCTATTTCT